>NC_000003.12:130978301-131129816 GCF_000001405.40 Homo sapiens
TTCATACCTTCTGCTTGACGAAGAATGGATAGTTTCTTTGGTCTCTCTGGGGCTTTTCAGTCTCCTCTTGACTTATTTATGTTTAGTTTGTATGTGCATGTTACAAGTTGTTCAGTCTAATATCTCAGATGCAGGCACATCCCTTTGGTTAATAAAAGTAGTTTCCGGAGTTCCATAATTCTGAGAGCAAGCTAAATGATATTTGGGAAATGAAAAGTACTTTGTACTATATCTTACATGCCCAAGGATGATGACAGGGAAATAAGTAGAAATAATAATATGATGGCGTTATTTACATACTCTTAGAGAACCAACGTTACAAATAAGAAATGTCTGTTCATGTTATGGAAGGAGTAAAAGAATCCAAACTATTGTTGGTATTAATGGTTTTACAACCACTTTCCAAATTAGCTTTACCTTCCAGGAGTTTTCATGTACAAAGTTGTTACAGGCTGTGTATAATTAACTAATACAGCCTTCTCTTCAGAGTGTTTAATTTTTCTGGAGATCTTGGAAATGGAAAGATGAAGATCCGTTAGAAGCCACCTTCAAAGGTGTTTGCCTGTTTAAAATTGACTTTAAAGCCTAACAAACCCATAGTTTCTCTAAATAATTAATTCTATTTTTTAAAGAGGTAGAGTTCCTGTTGAAAGTAGCTGCATGTGATTACTATGTGAAAATATTGTTCATTTTCTGTCTCTTGCCTACTCTGCCCTTCAGTTCTTTAGTTTGATTCTTTTTAATTAAAACAGCTTAAAGGGACCCCTTATCCAGAACCATTAAACTATAATGTTTTGGTCTGTAATCATTTTGATTTTACAAATGACATTATAGTCTTAAGTGATTTATTTAAGAAGTGTTACTGTCTCCAATTTCTATCAACTAAATTCTGATGTTTTCATGACTCACTTTTTTTTGTTGTTGTTTGGATTTTATTATTTCCTAAGTTCTTGCTTTGGCTTCTGGTCCTGAACTGGGACAGCTGACATTTCTTGGCTTGGTGGGAATCATTGATCCACCTAGAACTGGTGTGAAAGAAGCTGTTACAACACTCATTGCCTCAGGAGTATCAATAAAAATGATTACTGGAGATTCACAGGAGACTGCAGTTGCAATCGGTATAACTAGACTGCTTTCTTTTGTTTTCGATAGTTTTTCTTAAAATACTGTGGTGCATAATTTTGTGAACTATTAGTTATGAATATGTTTATGTAATATTGAGATTATGCAATTGAAATCGACTCATGGTTTTGCTCATGGTCTATATAAAGTTGGCAAAACTGATTATAGTTTAAAAAGTAATAACTTTGACATGCATAACTAAATCATGAAATCACATGCATTTTATTCACAGAAGGGTAATTATTTTTAATCTCATGATCAACTGTGATGACAGAGTAAAAGCACTAGATCATGATTGTCAAAGGAAACATGAAACTTAGTTTTTCCTTTCAACTTAAGTATAATTTTCAAAGCAGACTTGTGCATAATTTGGCAGAAAATAGCTTGTTATATGTATTTGTTTTTCATCATGTATACCTATATTTGAATGCTATTTAAGATTACCGTAAGAAGTAGAATAAGAGCGAAGAAGAGAATGAAAGTTAATTTCCCAGAGCCTCTAAACTGTAATTCATACTGATAAATTTAACAGTTGGCTAAACTCCATTAATTCTTATTTGGAGAGGGGCTAGTCCAGGAGTTTCAAACTATATATTGTCTAAGAACAGGTCACTAGGAACATTATATTATTGGAAGAATAACTTTTCGATGTTTATTTTCATTTATGTATAACTACATGATTACCACAGATCCACCACCATTTTGTCTGGCTTCGGACACTGTACTTAAAATGCACTCTGATCTTCGTTACATTTCAGCTGCTGAGCAGAACCTGATTGGCCTAGTTTCGATTCTTAGGTATGCTAGCTTAAATAGTCAAAATTCTTTTTTTTTTTTTTTCCTGTAGAGACAGGGTCTTGCTATATTGCCCAGGCTGGTCTTGAACTCCTGGGCTCAAGTGATCCTGTAGCCCCAAAGTGCAGAGATTACAAGCCTGAGCCACCGTGGCCAGCCTTGAAAATTCTTTATTCTTAAATTTAAACAAAAATGAAAGTCAAACATAAAACTCCAGACTTAATACTGATTCAGATAGGTTTGTATTACTGGTAGGTAACAAAAGAGAACAGATAACAAATCATACTAAATGAGCATTACGTTGACTAGCCTGTCAAGCAAAAACAATTTGGTTTATTACATTTTCTCTCTCATTTGCTTTAGCCAGTCGTCTGGGATTGTATTCCAAAACTTCCCAGTCAGTCTCAGGAGAAGAAATAGATGCAATGGATGTTCAGCAGCTTTCACAAATAGTACCAAAGGTAGGCCTAAACTAAAGCCTTTTGGACTGAAAGGCCTTATTCTAAGTGTTACCATTTCTACTACTATCTTAATGAAACTGTTTAATTGTGAACATCAGGGATTTAAATAACCACCAGATTTGTTGGTTCAAATCCTGAAATGAAGTCTTATCATTGAATTAGTCTTATCATTGATTATTTATGATATGATGTTTATGAATATCAGTGCAAAATTATTAATTTTAGCAAGAACCAGATTTCCTCTGAGAAAAGTACTGTGGAAATTAATAGTGCTTGTATTTATGAATTAGAGGATGGAGAGAGATCATTGATTTATACTTCTTACTCTTTTGTTCAATTTTAATTTTAGCATGAGTATGTGATTTTTTTTAGGTACAATTTACATATAGTAAAATTCGCCCATTTTAGTGTATAGTTCTGAACATTGAGTGATGCATGCAGTCTTGTGACCACCACCACAATCAAGATATAGAACAGTTCCATCATCCCCCCAGATTATCTTAGGCCTTTTTGTGGTACCTTCTCCCCCTACTTCCAGGACTTGGCAGCCACTAATTCTTTTTTTGTCTCTGCCACTTTACCTTTTCTAGAATGCACTAAAAATTGAATCATACCATATGAATGAGGCTTTTGAATCTGCTTCTTTCACTTAGCATAATGCATTTGACATTTATCTATGTTGGTTGTGTGTATTAGTAGTTTGTTGTTGTTTTTTAAAGTAATATTCTATTATAGGTGTACCTTACCTATTCACCAGTTAAAGGACATTTAGATTGTTTCCACTTTTTGATGATTATGAATAAAGATGCTGTCAACATTTGTGTACAGGCTTTTGCAGTTTGTACACAAATTTATTTTGCATGAAAATACATTTTCATATCTCTTGGGTAAATATCTGTGAGTAATTGCTGGGTCATACACTTAATGTATATTTAATTTCATAAGAAACTGCCAAGTTGTTTTACGAGATGGCTTTATTATTTTGCAACCCCACCAGCAGTGCCTGGAACTTCTAATAGTCCTGCATCCTCACTAGCACAAGGGATTGTCATTGCCCTCCTCCCCCATTCTGATAAGTGTACAATGGTATCTTACTGTGATTTTAATGTGCGTTTCCCTCACAACTAGTGATGTTGAATATCTTTTCATATGCTTATTTGCCATCCATATATCTTCTTTAGTGAAGTGTCTGCCCTGCCTATTTTTTAAAAATTATGTTTTCTAATTATTGAATTTTGAGCATTCTTTATATAATGTGGATACAAGTCCTTTATTAGATATTTGTTTGAAAATGTTTCTTTCCAGTTGGTAGTGTGTCTTTTCCAAGAGAGAAGCTTTTAATTTTGATTAGGTCTAGTTTTTCAATTTCTTCTTTTATGGACTATGCTTTTGATATCTCAGAACTCCCTGCCTAACCCAGGTTCACAAAGATTTTCTTCGTGTTTTCTTATAGAAGTTTTATAGTTTTGGGTTTTATACTTAGGTCTGTGATCCATTTTGAGTGTATTTTTTTGTATATGTTGTAATGGGTTACGGTTTATTTTCTTTGCATATAGATGTTCAGTTATTCCAGCAACATTTGTTGAAAAGACTGTCCTTTTTCCATTGAAATACTTTTTAACTTTTGATTATAATGCTTTTCTAACAAATTATTTGTAGGAAGGAGGTATCTCCTGCCCCACAGCACAGTAGCTTCTTTAAAGCCAGGTTCCCTGATATGAGATTAACTTACTTTATTATCTTGGGCTGCCTTGTAAGGGGCCTATCAAAGCCTGGTTTGTGGATACCCAGGTCCCATAGGAAGTGCCCCATAAGAGGTGGGCAGCAGTCTTCCCAGTTGCTGACAGTTCAGATTTCTTGGTTTTATTGTTAGTTAACTTATATATGCACATCTATTTGTATGTCCTTCAAAATAAGCACTTATCTGGAATTTATTTTATTAGCTATTTTGTAGCCATCCATTGTTACTAATAAAATGTGCTACCTCCTCCTTCATTTATTTTACACTTACAACTTCAAGTTATATATTCAGAATGTGGAATTTTCTTAAATTGTTTCTGCATCTTAAGGTATGTCTATACTTTTTTGATTAGAAAATTTATTCATTAGTGGTATATGTTCAACATAGAAAAATCAAATAATATAGAAAAGTAAGAGCTACAATAGAAGTTGTCTGTAATCTAACCCACACTCAGGTTATGCATCCACAGAGTATCCATAATAAGTTAACCTATTATGACTTAAAAAAATGTGTTTAACAAAACCTGGTTGCTACTTTATACTGTTATAATTCTGAACATTCATTTTACATAACTTTGGCATTTCTGAAATCAATTATTATTAGAAAACATGTTTTTAATTGCTGTACAATATTTTGAGTATACCATGTGTATGTGTGTATAAATGCATAGCATGCATATATATATATAGAGAGAGAGAGTTACATAACCATTTTCCTGTTGAAATTTGAGCTTCTATTCTTTTTACTACTGTAAATGTTCCTTTAAGGATAATGACAATAGCAACCATTTATTATCTGCCAATGCATGTATTACCTACATTATCTAATTTACTTCTTATAGCTACCTTATGAAAGATAGGCAGCACCGCTTTAAAAATTCTAATAATTAATAAGCCTTATTTCTTAGCAGTGTTAGATTTATAGAATAATTGAGCAGATAACACAGAGTTCTACATTCCTACTCCATCTCTACCCTCTACTCTTACACAGTTCCTCTTCATATTAATAGACTGCATTACTGTAGTATATTTATTGCAATTAATGAGCTAATATTGATACATTCTTATTTCATGGTTTACATTAAGGTTTACTTTTTGTGTTGTACCTTTCTAGGGGTTTTGACAAATGCATAATGACATATATCCACCATTACAATTTCTTTTGAGACGGAGTCTCGCTCCACCATTAGAATTTCATACAGGGTAGTTTCATTGCCCTGAAAATCCCTGTGTTTGACGTTTTCATCCCTCCCCACTCCGCTTGAATCCTTGACAACCACTGATCTTTTTACTGTCTCTGTAGTTTTGCCTTTTCCAGAATGTGTATGGTTGGAATAATATCATATGTAGCCTTTGCAGACTGGATTTTTTTCACTAAGCAACATGCATTTAAGGTTTCACCATGTCTTTTCCTGGCTTAGTAGCTCATTTCTTGTGAGCACTAAATAATATTCCATTGTATGAAAGTGCCACAGTTTATCACTTCACCTTTTGAAGGGCATCTTAGTTGCTTCCAGGTTTGGCAATTATATATAAAGCTGCTCTAAACATTCATATACAGGTTTTTGCGTAGACATAAGTTTTCAATTCATTTGGGTAAATACTAAGCACAGTTGCTGAATCAGATCATATGGTAAGAGTATATTTAGTTTTTTAAGAAACAGGCAATTCCATTTTTATAGATGAGGAAATTGAGGCCCACAGTACTTGGGAGACTTGGCTGATGTCTCAGAGCTAGTAAGTGGTGGTGTTGGCATTGGAACTGGAATCCAGGTCTGTATGCTCCAGAGTTCATCTGTTGTTTGCTGTTTCTTTGAATATTATTGAACCTAAGATGTACCCAACTCTGATTATTATTATTATTGTTATTATTTTTTACCACTGCCCTTATCCATGTACATCTGATTATTTTTATACACTAAATTCCTGCATGTGAAATGATTGGACTAATGTTCAACACATTTGTAAGGCCGTTAACATATATTGCTGAATTGTCCTCTGAAAAAGTTTCTGTTTATATTTCCATAAACTACACTTCATACAGTAGCATTAAGTCCCTAGACCTCCAGCCCCACTTCCCTCATCCTCTAGCAAGTGGTTAGATTTTGGATGTTGTTACTAATAGAAATACACTATTTTGCTTATCCATATTTTTTATTTCTCAACTTCTAATCACTCATGAATGCTGTTTTCAGAGAGAGCCAATCATAGTCCTGAAAGATGTAATCTCTAATGTTGAAATCCTGAAAGATTGAAATCCATAAAGTCTTAAAATCCTGAAAAACCACAGTCCCCAAAGATCAAAATCCTAAAAATCTAATTCTGGAAAAAATAATTTTAAAATAAAATAATTTACATTTTTAAGAAGGAATTTATTTGAGAAACATAAAAACATGAAAATGCTTCATTGGTCACTTTATACAAAATAAGCAATAATAAATAACCTACATAGTTTTGCAAGCATTTGCAAGCATAAACACTCAGGCATATTATATGACAGAAAGATATAACATAGGACTGTTATGAGCATATGAACTGTATTTATAAAGAAATAGGTCATAAGGGAAATGCATAAACACCTATCACTGTGGTTGCTAATTGTGTGCACCCCACTTTATAACTGTGGGTCATTTTTATCTTTCACAAATGCAGATGTATGAAAAGGACATCTGTTCATTTATTGAGGAAGTTTCAACATTTTTACATACATGTACAGTGCTTACATACAAAGTCAACATTGTGATCATGCACTTTCGTGAAGTCAGATTTGCAAAACATGCATAAAACAAATTAGAATCCTTTAAGTCTCTATAACTTACGCTTCCAGTGTTGGAAATGATGCAAAGGTGAAATACATAGCATAGCAAATTGTAAAAAATAATACTCACAATTTAAAATAGCGGAAAAGGAAACTAAAAAAAGAAAAATAATGGCCGGGTGTGGTGGCTCACAGCTGTAATCCCAGCACTTTGGGAGGCTGAGGTGGATGGATTGCCTGAGGTCAGGATTTCGAGACCTGCCTGGCCAACATGGCGAAACCCCATCTCTACTAAAAATACAAAAATTAGCTGGGTGTGGTGGTGGGCGCCTGTAATCCCAGCTACTCTAAGGAGGCTGAGGCAGGAGAATCGCTTGAACCCAGGAGGCAGAGGCTGCAGTGAGCTGAGATTGCACCAGTGCACTCCAGCCTGGGCTACAGAGCAAGACTCCTTCCCCCACCCCACCTCCCCCGCCCCACCAAAAAAAAAAACCAAATTAACAACAACAGCAAAAAACCTAAAAAGAAAATATGACATGGAAAAGCATATTACAGAGATAAATGATGGACAGTTGCATGGAGATAGTCCATAAAAGCTGGCTGACTTTCACGATCATTAACTATATTTTGAAGTCTTGCAGCATGAT
Organism: Homo sapiens; assembly: GCF_000001405.40. Taxonomy (NCBI): domain Eukaryota; kingdom Metazoa; phylum Chordata; class Mammalia; order Primates; family Hominidae; genus Homo; species Homo sapiens. The sequence continues at coordinate 130,985,825 of NC_000003.12, forward strand.
GAGTAGTTGCTTTTTTTTCTTTAAGAACATGGCTGTCAGCGTATGTTCATATTCATTTTCTATGTGGCACTGCTGTTTTTGAAATTCTATGATTCGATGTACACTAACATGAACATTCTCTATTAAATTTTCCTATCCTGTGATTGTGATTTTCAGGAGTTTAGACTTTAGGGATTTTGATCTTTAGGGATTTCAGCATTTGGGATTATGGCATTTGGTATTGCATCTTTCAAGATTATGATCCCAGTATGTTGGGATCATAGATGACTGTTGGGATCACTGCCACCCAGAGAGCTGGGGCAGTGTGGATGTTTGCTTTGTTTTTGGGGTGGGGAAGGTGTTTATATATTTGAATAGGGCTTTTTTTTTTTTTTTGGTGCACGTCCTATCCTGGTAATCTCTTCCTGAAGTTTATTTCTGAATAAATCCCATATTGGATTTTTTTAGTGGTATTGGGACAGAGTATTAGTAAATGTATGTGAAATCTGCAGTTACTTAAACATTTTACCATTAGACTTCTGCATAACTTCTCAGAGATGCTAAAGGTGGTGAAACTTTCATTTTATTTGCTTTCTTCAGTTTGTCCTCTGGCTCTCTTATAAAAATTAAGGTGAACTCTGGAAACCAACCAAAGATAGTTAGGGAAGAAAGAAACTAATTACAAATTACATCATCAGCCTGGACAAATCACATTGTTGGGGTTTCCCAAGTAGAGTGTGTGTGCGTTAATTATAGCAGATATCCTGATGCTATTCCAAGGAGACTAAAACAAAATAAGACCTAAGCCCTGTCAGAAGCTCGTTGAATTGCTTAAATTCATCCTACTTTAAAGTGGAATTCTATAAATACTAGCCCTGCCTCCCAGGTATTTTGTATCTTTTGAATACCTAAGTCTTTTCTCCAAATATTATTAGAGAATTTTTTGTCTCATTAGGTTAGCAGGACGGCCCCCACCCTCATCTTGTCTTTTTCCCTACTTCATTTTGTGTTCATGTGACCCTTTTATAGCCAATATGTTTATTTGGCCTTCAGCTTTTTGATTAGTTTAGTTTAGTTTAGTTTAGTTTAGTTTAGTTTAGTTTAGTTTAGTTTAGTTTAGTTAGTTTAGTTTAGTTTAGTTTAGTTTAGTTTTAGAGATGGTGTTTTGCTTTATTGCCCAGACTGGAGTGCAGTGGCATGATCATAGCTCACTGCTGCCCTGAATTCCTGGGCCCAAGCTATCCTCTGCCTTAGCCTCCCAAGTAGCTGGAACTGTAGGTGCTCACCACTATGCTTGGGTAATTAAAAAAAAAAAAAAAGAAAGAAAATCCATTTCTGAATGGATTTTTAAACTTTTTTGAAAGAAAGGATTTGCAGAAATGGAGTCTCACCACGTGTTGCCCAGACTGGTCCTGAACTTCTGGGCTCAAGTGATCCTCCCACCTCAACCTCCCAAAGTGCTGGGGTTATAGGCATGAGCCACTGCACGTAGCCTCGTCTTCTGCTTTCCTTTGTTTGTTTTTTGAGACAGAGTCTCCTGCTTTGTTGACTAGGCTAGAGTGTAGTGGTGTGACCATAGCCCACTGCAACCTCAAACTCCTGGGTTCAGGTGATCTCCCCAGTTCAGGTGATCCCTCATGACTCAGTCTCCTGAGTAGCTGGGACTACTGGCATATGCCACCATGCCTAGGTAATTTTGTTATTTTTTATAGAGATGGGGTCTTGCTGTGTTGCCCAGGTTGGTCTCAAACTCCTGGGCTCAAGTGATCCTCCTACCTTGGCCTCTCAAAGTGTTGGGATTACAGGCATAAGCCACTGCACTCAGACAGTTTGCTGCTTTTGCTTCACATCAGTTTGAATAACTTTTATTATTGTTACAAATAAAACAGACCTTTTGTTCTAAATCATTAGCTTGTTGACATTTTCCCCCATGTACTAGAATCATATTAATTGTGCCCCTCATTAAAATATTTTTCAGCCATCCTTTTTCATAATTCTTTTGAACACATTTCATTCTCCTTTTGGAATATGAAGTGTTGCTATGTACTTTGACCTAGAGCCAGTTAAAAAGTAGTACTGAATCTCAGTTTTGCTTGTTATTAAGTCATCTGGGAATTCTCAGTGTTTTCCATTTATGACTTTTTCTAGTGTGTCCTACATTTTCCATTGATCCATTGATAGAAGTGGTCATCCTCTTTCATTCTTCTTTTTCTGATTTTTACAGCATTACTTGCATTTATATTTCTACTGAATCTATTCACCAAGTCCCCATATTATTATCACAATTCATATAGTCTAATTTTTAATAGGTTGTAAACCTTTATTTCAATCACTTGTTTTTTCTTCAGTGCATTAGTTTTCTTTAATCTGTCCTAGAAGATTTGAGGATCTTCGGTAGGTTATTCTAATGCAAGACACATCTTTTCCATTAATCTCTCCTTTAATATTTTCCTTTCTTTTTTTTTGTAACTTCCTTTCCCTAGTACATCTTGTCTATTAATTTCCATCAAAAGAACTGTGAGTGCTGACCACAAATGTGACACTGAAAAGGAGGACTCATAAGAAGAGAAAAATACCCCTTGTAGATTGCTTCTGAAAATATGTGGCCTTGTTCTACTCTCTTTGATGATTTTTATCTCTTCCTCCAAATCTAAAATCAGGCCAAAATACCCAACTGTCACAACTGGATCAAGCCAGCTGCACCTTTTACCACCAAGTACAAGGCTCACTGCAACCCACGGATACCCATCTAACTTCGGGACAGCCATGATCCCCAATAGGCAGGGATGACACCCACGACCAGCAAGAAGCAGCTACAGAAAATTGATCCTCAGTGCCTCTGCCTCCCATAAAGATTTATGGGGATCATGTCTCTCGGAGAAATGAGGCAGAATAGGGAATTAGGGTAATCAAGGGTTAAGGCATAAGTAAAAGAACAGTAGATGCAGCCAGTTCTAGGCAAGATTAGGCAGCATTTAGGCCACATCCTTAATCCTGTGATAACAAGACAGTAGTCTCCACTTCAGCCTCTGATTGGCTGGGGACCAAGTCTCCACTTCAGTCTCTGATTGGTCACAGGCTAATCCTTCATAGGGTGTAACCAATTGGAGGCCTCTAAATGGCATCTGGTAGTGTTACCAAATTCTTTTAACTTAATAAAAACCCTAGGCCGGGCACGGTGGCTCACACCTGTAATTCCAGCACTTTGGGAGGCCGAGGCTGGTGGATCATAAGGTCAGGAGTTCAAGACCAGCCTGGCCAAGATGGTAAAACCCCGTCTCTACTAAAAATACAAAAAGTAGCTGGGTATGGTGGCGGGCACCTGTAATCCCAGCTACTTGGGAGGCTGAGGCAGAGAATTGCTTGAACCAAGGAGGCAGAGGTAGTGAGCCGAGATTGCGCCACTGCACTCCAGCCTGGGCTACAAGAGCGAAAATCCATCTCAAAAAAAAAAAAAACAAAAAAACAAACACACAAAAAAACGGCTGGGTGTGGTGGCTCATGCCTGTAATGCACTTTGGGAGGCCAAGGTGGGCAGATCATCTGAGGTTGGGAGTTCGGGACCAGCCTGACCAACATGGAGAAAACCTGTCTCTACTAAAAAATACAAAATTAGCTGGGCGTGGTGGTGCATGCCTGTAATCCCAGCTACTTGGGAGGCTGAGGCAGGAGAATCGCTTGAACCCGGGAGGAGGAGGTTGTGGTGAGCCGAGATTGCGCCATTGCACTCCAGCCTGGGCAACAAGAGCGAAACTCCATCTCAAAAAAAAAAAAAAAAAACACAAACCCTAAAGAACATTGTAGTTGGGACTCATGAGCCGCTTGCTCGAGCCCGTTCTACTCTATGGAGTGTACTTTTGCTTCAATAAGTTTGTACTTCTGTTGCTTCGTTCTTTTGTTCCTTTGTGTGTTTTGTTCAATTCTTTGTTCAACACATGAAGTACATGGACAACTCACAGTCACAACCTTTCATTCGCTAACTTATTTTGCAGCTTTTGCCAAACACTTGTTATATTTCAGTGCTGTGTGCTACATGATTAATTTCTGCAGTAATTAGAGTTTTCACTTGGAAGGTTACCAGTATGTTTTGGATATATGTGTAACTCAGTCTTTTTTTTAAAGGCACACTGAAGAGTTTCTGAATGGATTTTTGAACTTTTTTGAAAGAAAGGATATTTCCCAAATATAAGTTATGTGATTCATGATATTTGGATTGCCTAGGGATAATCAGTAGTGTGATATTACAGTGCAGCTGAGTCTTTTGTTTAAGAAAATAATACTTTTTTTATTTAGACCTTTATTAAAGGAGAGAACCAGGGAACAGTCTTTATGGTAGTACTGAGATTTATTCAGTTGTTCATTCATTTTATTTGTCTTTATAGAGCGCTGTTGGTATAGGACAAAAATCTCTGGCTTCATGAGTCTTAGAAGATAAATGAATATAATGTTAAATAAGTGCTTAAGAGCAACCCCCCCCCCCACAAAAAAAGGCAAAATTTGAATGATAAGAGAGGGAGATTGAAATTTTTATATAGTAAGACTAGGGAGGGCCTCACTGAGAAGGTACTATTTGACAGAAGAGGGACCCATGTTATATCCGAGGAAAGAGCATTCCAGACAAGGGCAGAGGCTGGAAGTGAGTGTGCCTGGCATGTGTGAGGAACAACGAGGAGGCCAATGTAGTTCAGTCAGGAAAAGATTAATGATAGGAGTGCAGTGAGGTGTGAACTTCATGAGGGACCCGGTAGATAATAAAGGACTTAGGCATTTGTTTTGAGAGAGATGTGAAATCATTTGAGGGTTTTGAGAAGAGACACGCGATCTCACTTCTGTTTTAACAGTGCCACTCTGGCTACTGTGTTGCAAATTGACTGCAGGAAACTAGGGCAGAAATAAGAAAATCAGTTTGGAGGTATTGGCCCAGAGTGTGGGCAATGGTTTTGGAGTAAGGTGGTTGAATTCTGGATATATTTGTGAGTGGAGTCAACAAGATTCGCTGTCAAACTGCTTGTTGGCACATAAGAAAAATGGAGGAATTAAGGTTGGCTCCCAAAATTTGGAGCCTCAGCAACTGCACATATGTACTTTTCACTAACAGAGGATAGGAAGGAGCAAGATTGAGACATCTAAGAGGAAATGTGAAGTAGGGATGGGAATTAGTTTTGCTGATCTGGATTTCAGAAGAAATGTCTGGGCTTGAGATAAAAATGCATTCAAAAAAATGCATGTAAGTAAAATCCAAAGCCATGTGCCTGGGTATGCTCACCTGAGGCGTAGGGAATTCTGAGACCTCTTATAGAGAAAGGAACTGAGCCCTGGGGTGCTCCAACATCTAGGCATCAAGAGGGATCAGGAGAAGTCTGTACAAGAGGAACAGCCAAAAAGGTAGGAGGAAGACCAGTATCGGTGGTAGTGGAAGCCAAGGGAAGATGGTGTTTCAGGAGGGACTAATCAGCTACGTTAGGGTGCGGCTGAGAGATTAAGTCAGATGAGAAATGACTGTAGGCATTAGCAATGTGGTGGTGGTGGTGGTGGTGCAGGTCTTTGAAAGTCATGAATCGTGTTTCACTGCAGTTGTGGTAACAGTATGATCATGGGATGGATTCAGAGAGAATGGGAGACAGCAAGTATAGGCTACTTGCTAAGGAGCTCTGCTCCAAAAATCCTCCCCGTTCCTATATCAAAATTTTTTCCTTGCTGCTGCACTTTACCATCAGTATACAAACATGTTTCCTCTTCCATTTAAAAAAAATAAAGAAAAAAAAGGGAAAGGGTGGCAGCTGAAATGGGAAGGGAAGAGAAGTGGTTTTTCTTTCTTTTTTTATATGGAAGGGACAACATGTTTTTGTATACTGACGGTAAAGATATAGCAGTGAGGAAAACATTTTGGCACAGGAGGGAGGAGAATTTCTGGAGTAATGGTCTTAATAGGTAAGAAGGTAGAATCTTTGACCTGCAGTAGATGCATATTGAGTTCATCTGTAGTAAAACCAGAGGTTAGTTCCTGGATACAGATACTGAGTTGGGGGAATTGTGGAAATTCTCTTCTGATTCTGATTTCTCCAAAGTAGGAAGCAAGGTGGTCGGCTGAGAAGGAGGCTAGAGAAAGGGGATAGATTGCAGGTACGAGGAGAGAAAACTAATATGAACTAATCCTCTAGGAGAATAGGAAAGAGAATGGTGTATTATGTATATTGAAATCACCATAACTTGTAAATATTGTTGGAGAGAGTGACATGGTAGTGAGGCAGAAGTTAAAATCATTGTGAAATGAGGGGCTGTGAACTCCGGAGCAGTGAATGCTTACAGTTAGTGAGTTACAGTCTCATCTGACATTCAGAACTGAGGTTTTATGAAGGGAGAATAGCGGATACCGTGTTCCACCTGTAGGCTCCCCCAGTGGTACTATTTGAGGAGGTTATAGGGATGGTAGTGTTTTGTGGAAACACTAGGTTAGAGCAAAGTACTATTTGAGGAGGTTATAGGGATGGTAGTGTTTTGTGGAAACACTAGGTTAGAGCAAAGTGAAAAAGAGTAAAAAATAGAGGAGATTTGTTGGAACACAGTGAAACGATTTTAGATCAGGAGATGGGGTCAGAAAAAAGGATTAAATATTTATTTTGGAGAGATAAAAATCATATAAGCAATTTAGAAGTACAGTGGAAGAGAGGCTAATGAGTTAACCTGAGTAAAAGGGAATGAGCAGACACTTGACACTGTAAAAAATGGCTCTACAGACACTGAGAAGCAGCTGTTCTTTATTGCTCCTGAAGACAGAACAAAGGGAAAAGGCTATTTTAGTTGTATGCGAGTGTCATAGGAAACAGACGCAAGAGAATTTTTCCTTTTTTTGTCTCTGGAACATTTCAAGAATAAGGCTGTTTTCTTTCCAGAGTTTACACATAATGATATAAATTGGATGACTTGTTTAGATTGTGTATTTCCTGTGGTACCTTTGGTAAAGATTGAAATGACCATGTCAGATTAATGTCTTAACAAACATATGTCATATTGCTTAAGCTTGATCTCAGTGGCAAATTAAATACAGCTTAAATTGATGAGTTTTTCATCATTAGTTATGAATGCATGGGTTATTCTGTAGAAATCTTAATATTGAAGATTTTTAGTGTATCTTGTATTTTAACAGGTTGCAGTATTTTACAGAGCTAGCCCAAGGCACAAGATGAAAATTATTAAGGTGAGTGTGTAAGAATCAGATTGTTTTATTTCTGTATACAAAATGCTGCTACTTTACTTTTGTTATGTTTGCATTACAGGGAGTAGAGCATCAAGGTCAGAAATACTGTGAAGCAAAACAGTTTTTTTTTTTTGTAAGAGCTTGACATAGAAACACTAATAGAGAATTTAGTTGGCATAAGATGTAGAAGAAAACTTGAATGAAGTATCTGCAAATACAGCCTTCTTTAAACAGTTAGACAGTATAAAACAATGTTCTAACTGGGGTCCATAGCCGAGTCATCCCAGCGTAAATAGCAGTAATTAGTTAGAAACTAAATAAATACAGCAAGGAAATAGTGTTGTGACAGTGTGAACAGTGCTTAAAAGGCTATGATTATTTATATTAATTAGTCAAATGTATTTAAACCAACTGATAGAGTATCCAGTAGTTAATGGTCTTAAGTTATGATAGCCAGCCATTGTGTAGTTCAGAGTTTCTCAACCTTGGCACCATTGACATTTTGGACTGGATAATTCCTTGTTGTGAAGGGCTGCCCCATATGTTATTGAATGTTTAGCAGCATTCTTGGCCCCTTCCCACTAGGTGCCAGTAACATCCCCCAAATCCTGATAGTCCAAAACATCTCCACACATTGTCAGATGTCCCTTGGGAGACACAATTGCCCCTGGTTGAGAATCATTGTATAGTTGTTTGAAGAACAGAATTTAGAGATACAGTTCTCACAGATGGGAATATTAGTAGCAACTTTTTCTAAGCTTTATCTTACTGAGATCTCCATTTGTTGAAGTTCATTGAACAATGGGTGGTCTATATTATTTCTAATCTTAATTATGTGAAAAAAATAGGGAGGATTTGTTTATCGCTTTGTATGGAAGCAACATTTTTATCAAAATTCCTTCCTCTCCCCTGTCCTCTGCTCCACTCTAGTCGCTACAGAAGAACGGTTCAGTTGTAGCCATGACAGGAGATGGAGTAAATGATGCAGTTGCTCTGAAGGCTGCAGACATTGGAGTTGCGATGGGCCAGACTGGTACAGATGTTTGCAAAGAGGCAGCAGACATGATCCTAGTGGATGATGATTTTCAAACCATAATGTAAGCTTTGTTTCAGTGAATGCCTATCAGAGAATCTTCCCCTATCCTTTCCTGTCCCCCACCCCTAGAGAATTCAACTGGAAAAGAATTAGTATTTAAACATTAGGTAAACTAAACCACTTTTCTAGGGTAATTATCCTATTTTATGGTATGAAGAAGATGATTTGTGTGGCTGGAACAGGCATAGTAAATGGCAGGACCCTCATTTAAGAAGTATTTGCCAAGTGCCAGCCACATTTCACCTTTTTCTGGGCACTAATATGATGGTATAGTAATGGCCTTTATTTTAGTTAAATTCAGGTAGTTAGAAATATGCATATGTATGGCTCTTTTTTTGGCTTTATAATAAATATTGAAAATTATGAAGTTTACATCCATACCTGTTTTTTATATCAGTAATTTATTCATCTTGCCCTCATTTAATGTTATAATTTATTAAATTTAAATAGCTCTATTTGTGTCAGCCACAGTTTCCAGTTGATTTAAGACTCCAGTGTAATACATGGTGGTGTCAGTTTCACAGTGTTCAGGTGGGGATCATGTGAATCCCATTTATTTATTTATTTATTTTTTTGGTAGCTACCTGTTGGATGACCTGAGTTTAGTGATAAATTCCAATTATATGTTCCAGGCTGCTTTATTACTCTGTTTTGGCCTACAGGGAAACATTTGGGAGCTTAGGACTCACAGTATTTGCCAAGCTTTTGCAAGGATATGAGTTTTTTCTTTCCATTATTATAATTATATAGAAATCTTAGAAGAAATGGGGAGTTGATTAAAAAGCATAGATTTTCCTGGATTCAGCTAAATGAATGAGATAATTTATATGAATCCTTGTAAACCATGTTCTTCATTTAATTCCTCTGCAACATGTGATCTACTTGATGTGCAGGAGCAACACGTAGCTTAAATTCTATAATTCCTATATATCTCATTGCCATTTGATTCCTGACATGCATTAGTTTAAACCTTTACTCTGCATTTTGTACCACTAAGAAAAATGAGCTTAGAGGAAGGTGAAGAAGATAATCATGGCTGGGCAGGGTACCTCATGCCTGTAATGCCAGCACTTTGGGAGGCTGAGGTGGATGGATCACTTGAGCCCAGGAGTTCGAAACCAGCCTAGGCAACATGTCAAAACCCATCTCTCCAAACAATACAAAAAAAATAGCTGGGAGTGGTGATGTGAGCCTGTGGTCTCAGCTACTCTAGAGGCTGAGCTGGAGGATTGCTTGAGCCAAGAAGGTCGAGGCTGCAGGTAAGTCAAGGTTGTGCCACTGCGCTCCAGCCTGGGAAGCAGGGCAAGACCCTGTCTCAAAAAAAAAAAAAAAAGATAATCATTTTATGTATTATGAATGTGAAGTATTTTCTCTTGTGTGAAGAGACAATGCATGATTTTAATGTTGAAGTATCTTCTTCAGAATAAGAATTTTAATATTGTGACAAATTAGTTCAGGTAGAGCTTAGGCTTGACTTTAATTCTTTGCTAAAATAAATGTTTCCATATTGATACATGTGTTGTATTAGTTGGAATTTTATTTTATTTATTTGTTTGTTTGTTTGAGTCAGTCTCACTTTGTTGCCAAGGCTGGAGTGCAGTGGTGTGATCTTGGCTCACTGCAACCTCCGCCTCCCGGGTTTAAGCGATTCTCCTGCCTCAGCCTCCCGAGTAGCTGGGATTACAGGCATGCGCCACCACACCCGGCTAATTTTTGTATTTTTAGTAGAGACGGAGTTTCGCTGCACCATGGTGGCCAGGCTGGTCCGAACTCGTGACCCCAGGTGATCTGCCAGTTTCGGCCTCCCAGTGTGCTGGGATTACAGGCATGAGCCACAGTGCCCGGTTGGAAATTTATTTTCAAAATTAGCTCTACAGTGTTTTAGTATAGATACATTTTTGTATGATAATATTTTCTCACTTCATCTTTATTTTTTAAATTTCAGGTCTGCAATCGAAGAGGGTAAAGGGATTTATAATAACATTAAAAATTTCGTTAGATTCCAGCTGAGCACGTAAGTTTGCAAGAAATTTGTCACCATGGGTCTTCTGGATAAATTATATGAAAAGTAGAACTTAAGCAGAATGCCTAGAAACTTCTCTGCCTTATATTTGTGAGCATTGTTCATATGTCAGTTTTCCAAAAAGAAAATTTATTGTATTCTGAAATTTTAAATGGCATGATAAATAGGTTGTAAATGTAACAGTTAGATGTCTGTATCATCAAAATGTATAAATCTTTGTGATTTATTTAATAGCTCACATCTCATTGTTTCCTCTTGGTATCTTTTTCCAAAAGTAGAAGGGGTATTGTGTAGTCAAAGAACAGTTACCAAAATATTGTTGAAACTATCATGCAGATGTAAAAATTCTTTATTTGTTCCTGTTGTCTAAACATCTTGAAAATCCTTTGTTAAAATACTCTTAGCTTTAAAATGTCCACGTGACTGAAGAATAGTTTACTTGAAACAGTCTTCCTTTAAAAGCATAGTAGTAAGAGATTTTTAAATGCTAAAAAAGTGGTATCATAGAATCAACAGATTTACTCTACTGATATTTTTAAATGACTCTCTTTTTCAACAGGAGTATAGCAGCATTAACTTTAATCTCATTGGCTACATTAATGAACTTTCCTAATCCTCTCAATGCCATGCAGATTTTGTGGATCAATATTATTATGGATGGACCCCCAGCTCAGAGGTACGAGTTTTTTAATTGCATGAGCTGGAAAGACAAGGAATGTGTACTACCCTGATAATTAAGTTTTAAAACTTGATTTATGGACAGTGTTGGAAAACTTTGCAGCAAATGTTTTAACATTTATGTTATAAATTGTGTGATGTGTGTATTTTATTAATTCTTTTTGAGTGTGCATGCAGTGTAGATCTGAGCCTTTCCACTGTTAGATGCCTAGCCTAAGGTTGAGAATAGATCAGGAATAGGTGCTATCCCTGTCCTCAGGAAGTAAGTAAGCCTTTTATTTCTAAGAAATGGGTATAATGGAGAAATTTCTGGGTTCAGTTTTATTATCTAGGTTCTACTGTCAGTTTTAGAGACTTTGGGAAAGTATTAGAGGACCTGAGTGTCATAACTTTTTTAAAAAATTTAATAATAATGGGGTAGTTGAGTGATAGATGTCATTTGGCCACTCCAGCAAATCATCCCAGTTAAAACCTCTTTATATGAAAGATATTTCAAAATTCAGTCGGTAGGTCATGTATTTCACACCGTATTTGAAATAGGTAAACTTACATGTAAATGAATTGGATGGTTTTTTGAAAGTTGATTATCTATCCCCTATCAAATTGTGCCAAACAAATAAAGAGGAGAGAAAAAGTGACAAAATCAGTGGTTATTTTTGCGTAATCAGCCAGCGTTTTATGATGCAACATTTTGTTTCTATAAGAAAGCATTTAGTTTGCCGAATAATTGAGGTTAGTGAGGTTGTGAAAGTAACAAATCCAGACCTTAAAACTTGAAAGTAATTTATTTTTCTGTTTGTTTTTAAGCCTTGGAGTAGAACCAGTGGATAAAGATGTCATTCGTAAACCTCCTCGCAACTGGAAAGACAGCATTTTGACTAAAAACTTGATACTTAAAATACTTGTTTCATCAATAATCATTGTTTGTGGGACTTTGTTTGTCTTCTGGCGTGAGGTATATTCACTGGCCAAGCTGCTATATTAACATGAATTCTGTATATCTGATAGGATTCTTAGTTATTTTGATGGGTTACCCAGAAGGCTGGGAAGTTAAGGGAGCTCTTTTAGTGAAAAATATAAGAACATTTTAAAAGAGTTTGATTTCCATCTTTATGGATAAATAAAATTATTGATTCATGTATTAGAATAAATCTGCAGAGAAGTATCAGTTACAATAAAAATACATGAAAATTTAGAGAGAAGTTGGAAAATCTGAGTCTTAAAATCATAGAGCCACTTTATTATTTTTAAATAATAACAGTATTTTAATATCTAATACATAGTTCATGAGAAGTTTTTTTTTTACTTTTTATTATGTAGATTACAGCTATTCACTAGGTGATTTATAGGAAATTTAGGTAGCTTTTATGTTTCATGTGTTAGGCTAAAGTTATTTCTTCCTAATGGAAAGAAAATGTTTATATTTTTTAAAAAGCAGCGATTTATCCATTAAATTCAGCCACTGAAAAGTAATTTTGTTATTGCCTCTTGACAGCTACGAGACAATGTGATTACACCTCGAGACACAACAATGACCTTCACATGCTTTGTGTTTTTTGACATGTTCAATGCACTAAGTTCCAGATCCCAGGTATGTTTAGGTGAACTTAGTTGATTGACTTGATTGACTCACTTGAGTAGAGTGCTTTCTAATAAGTAGGCAAAGATTATGGGTTTTTAGCTTTGCTTAATTTTGTAGCCACAGATTGCAGCCCCAGACACAGCCTTCTTATAAACATGTGCCATTGGTCACAATGAGGATGGGGCATTTGTGGGAGGTAAGCTTTATGTCTGACTAGAACATAAAAGTATTAATAATTCACAGGTGTTGTCATCTGCGTTTAGCTGGCTATAGCTATAAGATAGATCGTGGTTAACATTATTTGAGCATAGAACAAACCTCATAGTTTCTGTTGAGATTTTATTAGTCTCATTTTAAAAGACAGTATTGCTAGGAGTATAAGAGCAGTTATGTGCCTATTTTTTTTCCCATCACTCCTGTCACTGTGTCAAAGCTTAGGACATTCTAATTTTGCTTTTCTTCCCTTGTTGTATCTTAAGGTGTGACTGCTGCTTCTTGGTCTAAGTGTTTTGATAGAAAATAATGGGCTAGAGCTTTATGGTACTTTTTTAGAGCATATTGTCCTTAAAAACTAGTTTCATTTGAGGCATGACTATTCATTTCAGCTTTAAAGCACTTTATGAATCCTTAACTATATTACCATTTGCCATGCTGGAACTTCTGAGTACAGCGAATTCTCACTAATTGACCAATTTTTGAAGAAGCTGTAATATTTATTTTTTTATGAAAAGTGGTTTTACTTTTTCAGTACACACACAATTAGGTCCATTCTCCAAGAAAGGATTTTAGATTATCTACCTTAGTGAATGTATAGAAATGATTTAGCAAAATACAAATAAAGTTTCTTGATGTTTGGGATGTTAAAAGGTTTCTTTTCTTTCTATGGTCTAAATTATATAGTGTCACTTTTTAAGCAAGCCTTTTCTTGATAAATAAAATAAAAGCTACTTTAATATTTACTTTTATTCCATCTGAATTATTCCAAAACAGTAGTAAAATTTAAGATATTTCATAGAATTGACATTGCACAATTCAGTGATAAAGTGACACTGCTTGTTAAAAATTAGAAGTGAATATAATAAAGAAGTTATTTCTGTGACCAAGGAGTAATAAATGAACTCTCTGCTCTGCCAACAGACCAAGTCTGTGTTTGAGATTGGACTCTGCAGTAATAGAATGTTTTGCTATGCAGTTCTTGGATCCATCATGGGACAATTACTAGTTATTTACTTTCCTCCGCTTCAGAAGGTTTTTCAGACTGAGAGCCTAAGCATACTGGGTAAAGAAAACGTTATCTTTATCATTTATGTATTTTAGATAAATCATATTTTCTAATGTGTTTGTTTTAATTTTAAAATTCTTTTAAAATAGCAAAATAAGTAACTCACTTGATTTGAAAAAGGAGTCTATTTTTTCACTTGGGGAAGCTCAGGGGAATTACTCTCCTAACTCCAGGGTTTTGGTTTTTGCTCTTTTATAGGTTATCAATTGTTATAAAAATCATAATACGTGATTCTCAAATATAGCAAATCAAAACCTGCTCTAGAGTATAGTTTATAACTTTTTATGTACTATGCCATCTTGTATGAAGAGAAAACTAGACTTAATCTCCCTGAAAACCAAGTTGCTCTCTTCTTTAAAGTTAGAATTTTCAGTAAACTAATAATTTCATTATTCTTTCTTGTTTGTACATTCTAATTTCACAAAATGTCAGTCTGACCAAATAGCAGAATGTTTTATAAAGACTATTTGGAAATTACACATTTTTCTTACATTACCATTTATTAAATGTATAATACAGTGCATTTAAAAATTAGTTTTCCTGTGTAGGTGTGAGGAATGATATATTTGACAGTAATGCTATCCTTTATTGAGTTCTCAATTTGGGTATTTATGAAAAGGAGTTATACAGTTTCACTGTATTTTTTCTTGTAAGTTAAAATTTACCTTAAAATTGAACTAGTTGAATTTCAGTATTTTAATTCCATATTCACATTTCTTCCTCTTTTTAAAAAAATGGCATTTTAAGGAAACATCTGCAATTTTCCAAGCAGTAAATAAGAATTGAGATAGTGTGGATAGTATTGTAAAGACAAGTCTTCTATGCTTTGAAATAGAACATATTAATGTCAAATTTTTAATCTTCAGATAGGCATTGTCATTCAAATTGTCTACTACTGTTGATACAGTACTTTTTTAAAGGGCTGTGTGATCTATGAAATAAACTCCTTTTGTTGGTGATACTGTTAAAGGCTAGCCACATAAGGTTTCAGGGAAAGTGGTCAGAGGACTTGGGTTCTAATTCTGGCTGCTGCCTTTCCTAGTTATGTGACTTTGGATAAGTCACTTAATATCTTTTTTTCTTTTCTTATTTTTAACTGAGGGTGATTGTGCCTGCCTTATGGAATAGTTGTGAAACAATGTGTTTGAAAGCTGTGGTGGCCAGGCGCCATGCCTCACGCCAGTAATCCCAATACTTCGGGAGGCTGAGGCAGGCAGATCACTTGAGGTCAGGAGTTCAAGACCAGCCTGTCCAAAATGGTGAAACCCCCTCTCTACTAAAAATACGAACATTAGCCAGGTATGATGGCACATGCCTGTAATCCCAGCCACTTGGGAGGCTGAGGCAGGCAAATGGCTTGAACCCAGGAGGCGGAGGTTGCAGTGAGCTGAGATCATGCCACTGCATTCCAGCCTGGGTGACAGAGCAAGACTTCATCTCAGAAAAAAAAAAAAAAAAAAAAAAAGTTGTGTTAAAATGCTAGAAAAATGTAAGCTATTAAGCTTTGCAACTGTAAGTTTCAAAGAAATGTAAAACCCAACTTATTTTCTCTTGCAGATCTGTTGTTTCTTTTGGGTCTCACCTCATCAGTGTGCATAGTGGCAGAAATTATAAAGAAGGTTGAAAGGAGCAGGGAAAAGATCCAGAAGCATGTTAGTTCGACATCATCATCTTTTCTTGAAGTATGATGCATATTGCATTATTTTATTTGCAAACTAGGAATTGCAGTCTGAGGATCATTTAGAAGGGCAAGTTCAAGAGGATATGAAGATTTGAGAACTTTTTAACTATTCATTGACTAAAAATGAACATTAATGTTAAAGACTTAAGACTTTAACCTGCTGGCAGTCCCAAATGAAATTATGCAACTTTGATATCATATTCCTTGATTTAAATTGGCTTTTGTGATTGAGTGAAACTTTATAAAGCATATGGTCAGTTATTTAATTAAAAAGGCAAAACCTGAACCACCTTCTGCACTTAAAGAAGTCTAACAGTACAAATACACTATCTATCTTAGATAGATATATTTTTTTTTATTTTTAAATATTGTACTATTTATGGTGGTGGGGCTTTCTTACTAATACACAAATAAATTTAATCATTTCAAAGGCATTCTATTTGGTTTAGAAGTTGATTCCCAGGAGTGCCATATTTCAGCTACTGTATTTCCTTTTTCTTGTAATGTAAGCAGCTCAGATACCATGTGCTATCATTTTTGTATCAAGTTTTTTGCACAGGATGTGACCACTGTCAGATCACTGTTCTTTTCTTTCTTTTTGTGATTGAAAAGCCTATACTACAATTTGAAGTAAATTTTTGTTTTTCTTAGTAAGTGTAAATGGTTGCTTTATTTTTATTTTAAAAAGGTATGTCTTTGGTTTGGCAGAATTCATGCAGGGCTATCAAGTGGTGTTCTAGGGTAACAGTGTCCATAATTAACGCTTAGTCATAGAGTCAAAAACATTTAAGACTGATTGGGTTGAAGTTTATAATAAATTATATTAACATGTCTTCCTTTTTGAGGTAAAGATATATACTTTGTCAAATATCATTTTGTCATCCTCTAAATATAAATCCAAATACCTCAGCTAAGTAATTCTATTTTATTATTTTTACTGTTATGTATGTTTTTAATCATATTTCTTAGGAAGTATAGGCTACTGGACTTAGAATAAAAAGTCCCCAAACCCAAACAAATGGTTTATGAACCAGAGTATATGTGGAAGATTCTTTGCTGGTCTTGCTCTGTGTGCATCTGAAGCTTCTTTGGCCTAGATTTTAGCACAAACCTGAGTATATCTCTTCTACTTTCATCATGTGTTCTGTACCTTCTTTTTGTTTCATTGGGCATGCTAGGGAAATAGGTGGATTTTGTGTGTAATGCCATCAGTTTTTATGAAAGCTTGATGAGGTATAGGTCATTTGTTTTGAGTATGTGGGCCAGAAATTTAAAATTAGAAATTTGTTTTTCTGTTGAGTATATAAACAAAAATTGGTCCCAATTCTAACAGGTTTAATCCTTCTTGAAGCCAATAAGTTTTATCTTTTATAATCTGTCAGGATGAACCACTCCTTAGCTTTTATCCAATATTAAACTGCAAGTGTTAGCACTGAAATATTGTCATTGATAGGGAAAATATCTATTCTTTGAGTCATTGTTACTGAGGCAGTTGAGTGTAAGGAGCTGGCTGCAGTTTATTCTACTTAACCCTTTAAGGCTGAATTGTCAAATGTACATTGTTCCATGTCGTTAGATGGAACATGGAAGCCATTGTCTAATCAACTCTATCATTAGTGACTTGATGTCTCATACCTTAATTTTGTAATGATTTTTATTCTCTGTTACAAAGACTTGAAATACGTATTAAATGCACGTTAATGTTTTGCTTTGCATTTTAGGTTCAGATTATGACTTGATTGAAATAAATGTGCCTATACATTCATTTGCTTTGTACTATAAAAATAAAAATGATTTCTTAAGTTAATGACATCCCAGTGGGGACTATTAGCATTAAAATTATCCATATGGATGCTGAAGATACAGAAATTAAAATTATCCATATGGATGCTGGAGAATGCATAGTACACAGAATCTATGATTTAAAAAGAAGTTGAATGTACAGTACAGATCCAGATTGCAATTTTCCATAATATATTAATCCAAGTTGACATGGATGAGTTAAATGGGCTAGTATCTAAATTTTAAATTTTTACCCTATTTCCTAATCCTAGGACTTGCTAGAGTCCCTAACAATACTAACTTACTTGATGTTTTTCCCTGTTAGACTACCTTATGGAGTTATTTGGCCCCATAATGGCTAAACATCAGGGAAGAAAAGAAAAGAACTTAAAATAATTCACTGATTAGGTAAACAGTTCTGAAATGATCAAAACTGGCCACACAGAACAAGGCTGAACATGTTGTGTCACATTTGTGCTGGACATTGCATGACCCAGAGATGAAACAAAAGTGAAACCATGAAACCCGAAGACCCTCCCCTCTCAGGATACAGGCTTTATTTATATAGCAGTAACCACCCTCACAAGAATAAGACACATTATTTACCTGCCATGCCCATGTAGGGTATGTATTTTACATTGGTAGTCTTTTTGAGATCACTTAAGTTTTGGTCTCCTTGATATACTATATAAGTAAAGTAAGTATTGGTCACACTTAAAAATAGTTTCTCACTGAAATGAATTGGAGGCAAACAATAAACATAATATTTAGGAAACTTAATTAACTCTACCTTGCTTTCTGCCTCTGTCACTTGGCAATTCACTTCCACATATGACTCACCCATGAAGTTAGATGATGAACTGGTTATCTTTTCATTACATTTTTTTAGTACCTGGAGTGTGCTAGAAGTAGAACGATAATGGCATCCCTGCCCTGTAGGAGCCCATGAACACAGATAGCAGGGGATATAACTGCTAATAAGCTGTTTCAAGAAAGTAAATAGGGATCTTTGCCCATTTACTTTAAAAATACACATAGATTAAAATGAGTCCAGTGCACTTTTCACTAGATGTTTCCTTGACATTGGCATTTGAAAATCTTTGAAGTGCTTTTTAAGACTGAGCTCCTGCAATCCAAACAGCAGCTGATTTGCATACTAAAACGTGGTATGGATGTTCATCCTTAACTAGTACGTGATTGGACAGACAGATCATTCTGATGGTTAAGTTTCCTTGAGCTCAGTTACCACTTGAACTATTAACTCTTATTTAATGACATTGTTTTGGGTTTTGGTTGTCAAGAGTTGGTTATTGTTAATAATGGATAATGGTTAACCAGTCCCTGGTATTAATGTAGATACAATTGTCCATAAACATTGTTGTAGGTTTAGATTTAAAAAGAAAAAGTAGTATCATGCCTTCAGGAAGTTTTCAGTCAGTTCTGGAGACCAATGTGAAATATATCCACTAGAGTGGTAAATGCTGTCCAGAATGCTACAGTAGTTGAAGTAGAGAAATAACTTCATGGGATCCTCAAAGAAATTTGTCATAGAAATTTCCTAGAACTAATGACAGCTGAATCAAATTTTAAGTTGGGAAACTCCAGCTGAGAAGCAGTAGGACAGTGCAGCCAAACAGCAAAGCCTCTGCAGAGGTGGTGGTAGGGGCTATAAGGAATCTGTGAAAACCACAATGAGTTTGACACTGTTAAGGCAGGAGGTACAGTGTGAAGGGTTGGAGAGATAGGCAGGAACCTAATGCTGAAAGCAGAGACATTTGATTTGTCTGATAGCATGCCAGGGCATTTCAAGAGTTTGATGTGAGTTTGGATTTTTGTATCGTAACATGCTGATGGAAGCACAGAGGGTCAATTGTGAAGACTGAAATAGGGAGACCAATTAGAAAATCAAGGAAGCTTAAGGAGTAAAGGGATAATTGAGCTGTGGCAGTCAGGATGGAGAGAAAGGCATGGAATTTGAATTGTCTTTTTTTTTTTTTTTTTTTTTTTTGAGGCAGGGTCTCACTCTGTCCCCCAGGTTGGAGTACAGTGGTGTGATCTTGGCTCACTGCAACTTCTGCCTCCCAGGATCAAGCGATCCTCCCACCTCAGCCTCCTGCGTATCTGGGATTACAGGTGCACACCACCATGTCTGGCTAATTTTTTTGTATTTTCGGTAGAGGCAGGGTTTCACCATATTACCCAGGCTGGTCTCGAACTCCTAAGCTCAGGTGATCCACCAGCCTTGGGCTCCCAAATGCTGGGATTAGGTGTGAACCACTGTGCCCAGCTTTGAATTTGTATCTTCTGAGAGATAGCATTGACATGACTGGACAGGAGAAAAGGAAAATGGAAAAGATACTAGTCTGTGGCCTTTGGCTTGAATAGTAGAGCTATTAGCAGAAGAACCTAAGCTAAGCAGGGTTTAGTGGGACACAGGTCCATCTGAAATGTACAGCTTGTGGTGTCTTTGAGATTTCCCAGACGGATGTGTTAATCAAAGCTATAGCTGACTAATTATAAGCTAGTAGAAAAACAAGCATCCATTTTTTTTGTTGTTGTTAAATTAAGCGATAAGTCAAAGTAAACTCAGCTTTCACAAAATAAGATTTTCTTTAAAAACTTTCCTTTAGCATAGTTATTAATCAGCAAACAGTTGTGTAAATTCAAAATGCAGAAGGACAAGATAATATTTCAATCTCCTTTGTTGTTGAATGTTAATAGGGAATCTGTTATTAAGGTTACTGACTGGAAAACACTGATCTGAATTACTGGTAGCAATTTTTTTGATACATGTAGTAAGACACTTTCTAAGAGGTGAGAGCGTGTGTGTGTGTGTATATGTGTGTGTCTGTTTATGTGGCATACCACATAGCTTAAGGTATGCCACGTAAGGAAACCCCAATGAGTAAATAACATTACCATTAGAAAACAGCTACTTACTCTGAATGAGTAATTATGGCAGAAGAGTAGAAAACAATGTTGGTTTTTCATTTGTTTGTTTTTTGAGAAGGAGTCTTGCTCTGTTGCCCAGGCTGGAGTGCAGTGGTGCGATCTTGGCTCACTGCAACCTTTGCTTCCTGAGTTCAAGTGATTCTCCTGCCTCAGCCTCCCGAGTAGCTGGGATTACAGGCCTGTGCCACCATGCCCAGCTAATTTTTGCATATTTAGTAGAGACAGGGTTTTACCATGTTGGTCAGGCTGGTCTCGAATTCCTGACCTCAGGTGATCCATGCGCCTCAGCCTCCCAAAGTGCTGGGATTACGGGCATGAGCCACCACGGTTGGCCTGTTTATTTTTTTAAATTTTACTCGTAATTTTTTTGGCCTTTCTAGCCTCATATCCTACACAATGCTCCAATACAGTCCACTTCCAGATCATTTTGGACAGTGTTACTTTAAGTTGAAATCGTTTTTTCTCTGTCCCAATGTTGAGAATCAGAGCTTTTACCTCTACTTCAGAGCCCAGTGAAATGCCAACAAGAATAACCTTTCCAGATTTCTAGTGTGTGTTTGTGTGTGTGTGTGTGTGTGTGTGTGTGTGTGTGTAGTACAGTTTCTTGTACACTTTTTTTTTTTTTGGCAGGGTGTTGCTCTGTAGTGTGATCATGGCTCACTGCAGCCTGGACATCCTGGGCTCAAGTGATCCTCCTATCTCAGCCTCTCAAGTAGCTGGGACTGCAGGTGCATGCCACCATACCTAGCTAATTTTGTGTATTTTTTTTTGGTAGAGATTAGGTTTTGCCATGTTGCCCAGGCTGGTCTCAAACTCCTGGGCTCAAGCAATCTGCCCACTTTGGCCTCTCAAAGTGCTGGGATTATAAGCGTGAGCCATCACGCCCAGCCTCATTTCTTGTAAACACTCTTTGAATGTAGCAATAAGTTTGCATATAAAATTGTGGGATTTTATGTTTTAGAAAGCATTAAAAATTTAAGTTGAAAACACTTGTTGATAAATCTAAACAGAAATTTGGTGATCTCTTTCATTCAAAATTAAATGTCAAAGTTTGGGGAGAAAAGTGAAAACAATTATTTGAGCCATTAGTTTTTATCCTTAGAAATCCTTTTCTAATGTAAATCTGCTGGTGTTCTCGTGTACACGTGAACATATATGATGTAACAGCCTGTGCTTGCACAGCTGCTCCAGGTAGATGGTGTTTCATTTGCAGGTCACCGTACACACCTGATTTTGCTATTCCTATCCTGTTTTACGCAAATCTGGCCAAACTGACAAATATACTGACAAAGGCCCACATTTCTGTGGTGGCTTCATGGCTGTTAGGCCTGACAGAACTTCTTTTCATATTTAACCCAAGGGTGCCCCAGAATCATTATTTCTTAAGCAATAGTTGCATTGCTCTACTTAATAACCCTTTTGAGTAGAAACCACATCTCATTGTTATGAGCACTCAATGCCAGAAACTGAGCAAACTGTTCTATATAAATTCCAGAGATCCATTTTTGGGCTCTGGATTTGTAGCTTTTGAAAAATGTGCCTTTTAATACAGTTTTTTAAAAAATTACTAATCTTCTCAACTACATTAAAGAACTTTCTATTAAAGTTTTCTCTGATAAGTATACCAAAGTGCCCTTTAGTTGACAAGTGACAATTTGGTGCCATCTTAGGGTCATAAATAAAATACCATATAATGCCTGGACCATTGCTCTTATCAGGTCTGCATCTTGCAGGCATACTGTGAAACACGTGATATGTGCATCTTACAAATAGGTGACTGTAGAAAATGTATGTCTGATAGGAAAGACATGACAAACTTTACATTTAAGCATTATTAGATCAATTTTAACAAGCTATAAATTAGTATGTTTTAATTCCTATTCCTGTCTCATTCATCTGTGTGGTTGCGTAATAGGATTGCATTAGATTTTGTAAGTATTTTTCTATGTGGAGTGGGTCTGGATGGTTGGATGGTCCATGCATCAGCTAGAGGTATTACAAGTTAGGGAAATAGTTTAATTTGATCTTGTTTAACTCACCCACATGGAGCTATTATTTAGTTTTGGTGTAGAAACTATGGCCAGGCATGGTGACTCACACCCTTAATCCCAGCACTTTGAGAGGCTGGGGAAGGCGGGTTGCTTGAGGCCAGGAGTTCGAGACCAGTCTGGCCAACATGGCGAAACTAAAAATACAAAAATCTGTAGAGCGTGGTGATGCATCCCTGTAATCCCAGCTTCTTGGGAGGCTGAGAACCAGAACTGCTTGAACCTGGGAGGTGGAGGCTGCAGTGAGCCTAGATTGCGCCACTGCACTCCAGCCTGGGCAACAGAACAAGACTGTCTCAAAAAAAAAAAAAAAAAGGAAAGAAAAGAAAAACTGTGCCATGCTGGTCAAATTCTCCTGTTGCTTATTTTTGTAAATAAAGTTTTATTAGAACACAACTATCCACATTCATTTACAATATTGTTTATTGGCACTGTCATGCTGTGGCAGCAAAGGTGAGCAGTTGCAGCAAAGGTGAGCAGTTGCAAGGGACTATATGACCTGTAAAGCCTAAAATATTTACTATCTAGCCCTTTGTAGAAAGTTTGCCTACTCATTTAGATATTCAAAAAGAGGAAAATAGGCCCTGTACCTTGCATTCAGTGGATTAGAAAGGAAGTACCATCAATTTTCTCTACCCTCCAATCTCCCAACAGTATATTCTCTCTTGAATGGATGCTCTTGGTAGCAGATTTGATGTCAGTGACTACTCTGAGTCTCCATCAAGGCCCCCATGTAGAGAAAGTCAGAGTGTCTCAGACTGTTGTTAAAACATCATCAACCAGGAGGACATGCCATCACATTATCAAGGCTTCTTGTTCTTACAGTGGCTGGAGTGTTCTGATCTGCCGTCCCATCTGAATTGTGCTTCCCATCTCTCTCTCTTTGCTCACCCAATTTTTTATCCATCTGAAGCAGTCTGCTCCTATCTGGTTGATGGGCTCACTTCTACCTCTTGGATGCACAAGAGAAGTGGAGGTTTCCCTCCTATTGGTTGTACAAACCCAGAGAAATAAAGCTTAATCTGAATAGGCTTAAGTATGTTATCTTGCTTAGAGAAGACAACATTTAGTAATAGCAGAAACTAAACTATCCTAACAGCTCAGTCTTAGGGAAAAAATATACTCACTAACTCATTTTTTCAGAACAGAACATTCTAAACCAAAACATATTTGCATAGTTCCCACAGATACCAAAAGGTGACTGTATATGTGCATGTATACATAAATATAAAAATATATTTATATTTTGAGAGAAAGACTTAGCTATTTTAACCAAATAGAATGTTTTCAGGAGTAGCAGGAATAGAAGAGATTGCATGTGCATTGTAGCATGTTCATTTTTCATTTGATTTCTGTCCCTAAAAACAGAATCCAGTGAAACTAGCTGGAAATACTTCTTTCATGTATTATCTCATTCATTTACTTCTCTCATTTTAACAGACTGTTATATGGCCTGGTGCAGTCACGCCTTTTAAATTTTAAAACTTCCTTCCTTAACATGAAGTTCTCGTCTTAGAATTTTTACAGCTGGATGGACTTGAATTTGGTATTACTCACACCTCTGGAAAGAAATGCAGAAGCAGCTTATCCTGTATGGCTCAGAAAGCTGTTGCTGAAAGTGGGGTGTAATGTTTTTAATACATTTTTCCAAGAGTAGTATTTAATTTCAAATTGGTACAAGATGCAGAATCACTTTCAGCTGTGATGACTGAAATGTGTCATTAAGACATTACGAGATAAACACCAAGTACCCCACATCTGTCTTATTGAAAATACAGTGTCATATTTTGAGTCAGGCACCACTGAAAGTTTATCCTTTTATGGAACTTCCTGGTCTTGGTAGTGACAGCTTTCCAGGTGCTGCTCAGGTAAATGGTACACCAGCCAGCCAAACAGCATGTGGTAGAGAGCAGCACCCAGTGAAATCTGGCAAACTTGCTAGGGGGAAAACTGGGTTTGGCCTCCTTAGGATTATGGAGTAGGGCCAGGTTATAACCCTGGTAGTTGCAGGAAGAGGAAATTCCTAGGAAATGGTAATATCTGCTCTTCATCTTTTTCTATCTTTTTTTTTTTTTTTTTTTTTGAGATAGAGTCTTGCTCTGTTGCCCAGGCTGGAGTGCAGTGGAACGATCTCGGCTCACTGCAAGCTCTGCATCCCGGGTTCACACCATTCTCCGGCCTCAGCCTCCCAAGTAGCTGGGACTACAGGTGCCCGCCACCACACCCGGCTGATATTGTTTTTGTATTTTTAGTAGAGACGGGGTTTCACCATGTTAGCCAGGATGGTCTCGATCTCCTGACCTCGTGATCTGCCCACCTCAGCCTCCCAAAGTGCTGGGATTACAGGTGTGAGCCACCACGCCCGGCCACCTTTTTCTATCTTTAAACATGCCAAGGGCTCTTTCAAATTGGGCTTTAAAAACACTACAGAAAACTCTCTGAACATAGGAAAAAGGGCTCAAGGGGGACAGGTACTCACATGGGGATAATTCCTTCTGGTCTTTTTTCATTATTTTCTAAGTTTGAGCTTGGCTGCCCATTGAAATTGTCTTGGTAGTTTTCTACCCTTTCCAGTGTGGCTACGGCTGGAGTTGCTATAATATTCTCACATTCCTGCCCATCTTTCTTCTTCACCATATTTGATAGTGTTGATCTCCTTTGCCTCTGCAAAATTCTGCTCTTAAACCTGTGGCAACTCTGGTCTCACGTTGTCTTAATCTTTGTACTGCTTAACACTCACTCACTTCTTCCCACATTCCTTGCTTTGCCCTGGCTTTTCATGTGCGGATATAACAATGGCTATCACTTATAACACACTTTTAGTATCAGGCACTGTGCTAAGTAACTTAAATATACTTGTTATTGTATCTTTTACACAATAATTTGGACTGTTATAATCCTTATTTTGCAAGTAGGGCAACTGAGGCATAGTCATTGATTTATTTCCTTTTGTGCACAAAGGAGAAAAAGATAATTCTAAGGGCTTTTTAGCTATGGTCTTTATCTTCTGAAATTCAAATTCAGATGTCAAAAGGTTAATTTGAATTCTTTCCCCATGATCAAATGGCATGAAAGACCTGTGATTATATTTACAGGATGCATATTAAACTTTCAAGGTCCAGGTGTCTCAAAAAGTGCTTTTAAAAAATAGACTTCCAGTATAATTTTATCACCACTAAATACAGAACATGATTAGGTTATAGTAAAAGTTTTCCTGTCTCTGCAGCTTTCTCTCTAAAATTTATTCATCTTAGCTGCCCAGAGTTCCTTTTGTTACTTGAACTGCTAATTGAAGACAGTTTCCAAAGCCTAAGATGAGATTTCATTTGTTAGAACTGAATTAGAAAGAGCAGGACCTAATCACTTGATTGCAAACATAGGAAACTAGATTTTGGAAAGGGAATATGGGATGTACAATATTCTGCTTCTACACAGGTGTTCCTAATGTATATCTGATCTCAATTTTAAAATTCCTATTCTTTAAAGCCAGGTCAAAAGCCAGGTCTGAGAATCTTCTTGTGATTTAACCTCTTCTCATCCTGGTGACCGCTGTTTCCTTATTGTAGTATTCAGTCTGCACTTTGCCATTTTGCACTTGACAGACTGCTTTATGTAAGGGTAAAAACCACAGTTACTTTTGCACCAACTTAATAAAATAATCTCTTGTCATTTCATTGTGTGTTGTCTCCCAAGCAGCCTGAACAAGAATGTCTTCTGCAGGGGGTTCAGGTGCTATGTCATCATTTTTCGGTGAACCACCTTACATACTCCTGTGAAGTGCCTGTGACCTCTCATCTAATACATGTAGGAGAAGATATACACCAGAGTAGTATACTTAAAGGGACATTATTAGACTGTCACTGCTTTACTGCAAGGCTGGATAATTTCAGTGGAATGGTCCTGAGTGCCATGGTTAGAGAAAGGAACCTGACTTATTACTTCTGCTGGAGGAGGACACTTTTAATGAAAGAAAAACATGGTAGATGTAATTCAGTGGTTTTAAGAAGCAGTGTTGATGATAACCCAGGAAATGGGACAGTTATATTAATATAGTCTCCAGATTAGCTTCAAACTCCAGGAATCAAGGTAGGGAGGATTTGATATAACAACGGTCTTACATGGTTTTTCTTTTTTCTTTTTTTTTTTTTTTTTGAGACAGTCTTGCTCTGTCACCCAGGCTGGAGTACAGTGGCGCCATCTCGGTTCACTGCAGCCTCTGTCTCCCGGGTTCAAGCAGTTCTCCCGCCTCAGCCTCCTGAGTAGCTGGGACTACAGGTGCCCTCCATGATGCCCGGCTAATTTTTGTATTTTTAGTAGAGACGGGGTTTCACCATGTCGGCCAGGCTGGTCTTGAACTCCTGACCTCAAATGATCTGCCTGCCTTGGCCTTCCAAAGTGCTGGGATTACAGGTGTGAGCCACTACATCCAGCACCGGTCTCACATGTTTATAGTCCTCATTAGATACCTTATTTTCCAGTAACATTTCTTCTCAAAAATAGATGTACTTGACTACTCTTTTCTTGATTCTTCTGGGAGTAACCATCTCTTTGGAGATGGTTGTTAGTAAGGTTATAAAAATAACCTTACTGAGGAACTCCCATGCAATCCTCTGAAAATAATAAAAATTTCCTTATTTCAAGAACTCTTATTTAACAAAGTAATTGTTAGGGTTGAATACTCTAGGGGCAAATGATTTATTGTGCCTTTTGTAAAAGTCAACACTTGGCAGGTGTGTGTTTGACACTGGCTGATGCTGGGCTTATTTCTCTAAGAGTATGGTAATTCTAGTAAAGTAAAGAAAATTGTTTATCAGATATTAGGAACTGTACATAGGCCTGCTCAAAATGGCAGCTTTAAAGCTACCTTTAGGGCTATTCCTGATGGAATATACCAGTGGGAGAGTACAGAAGGAAGAACACAATTTGTATGAATACAAGTAAAATGAAGGTTGAGTATATTTTCAGATCTTGCCCAATGCATTTATTCTACTTGGTTCTCTTTATTTTCAAGTTCTCATTTGGAACTGGCCGGCACTTTCAGAACTCTGGGTATTTCTAATTTTAGCAGCCTCTATTTGGCAGTATTTTCCAGAGCAGTACCTTTTAAACTTCTTCCCTACAGTCCACAGTAAGGAATATATTTTACACAATCACCTAATACATGATATGTATATCTGATATTTTCCATTCTAACTTTTTCATTAAAAAATGCTGGGTATGACTCATTAAATACTTTCACATCTCATTAATGGGTCAAAATCTGTAGTATAAAGAGGGCATAGGGTCTGGTATTGCTGCATATATCTCTTGATATTTTCACTTCTCACTGTTTCCTCCTTCTCCAGGTCTAACAGCTCAGGATGCTGTTTCTTATTTGGCTGAAGCCATTAGTTTCAACTTCTCCTTTAAAACCTGGAGTGCACCTAAAGTGCTCTTCAATCCTGTCATGGTCTCATTGACTAAGTACTTACTTTTAGTAGAGACAGTTTTCTGTCTGGCATCCTCACTTCTAACTTTCATTGGCCAGACTTCATACTAAAGTACAAAGAGGAAACTGTTTTTAAAACTTTTTGAAATGATAACCAGCTGCTACTTAAAGGCAATAATTGAGTGAGACTTCTACTTTCTGAGAATGTAGCTGGCTAAATTGCTGCAATTTAAAGCATATAGACTATATTACCATTAACTTGCTGAAATGGAACATGAGAAGTATAAACATGGTTTCAAACATATTTAGAAATACAGAAGCTTCTTAAATCAGGTTGTATTTATTAAAAACAAAATACAAAATAACTTGGAATTCAGATTATTGTGATGTTTATCCCCTAACAGGTCAGTCCTAAAGAAAAAGCTAATTGTTTCAAGGGTGGTAACGGAAGAATTTTAAGTAAGGATTATATTAAATACATCTAGTTTGATGCAAACTGAGTTTTATTCAATGTTGGAGGCCTCACTATGTTCCTCTAAGTTTTCAACCATTAACAACCCAAACCGGTTGTTTCCCTCATACCAACACTTGGTGTGTGCAGTGGTTCTCCCTCTGTTCTTAGAACAGCTGGTATTCTGTTTCTTCTGCCTTTTTTTTTTTGAATTTGATCTACCTTTTGGTAGGAATATTTCAGCGGGGGCATATGACCTTGTGGCATTGAATAGATATTCATAAAGTTGCTTAGCCTCAGGACATATGCTCAGGAGACTTTCTACAGAGGTCGATGCTAGCAGTTGCTGGCATAGTCCGTGCACCAGGCTTCCACTGTACAGTCTGTTCAAAGCAAGAAAAAAGTATGTTGTTAAAGAAGTAATTCAGTGCAACAGGATAACTACCATTGACATAGCTTCAACAAATGCATCTAAACAATGAGAGCTCTTATTGCTCTATAATATTATCGAAATTACTTAAGAATAATCTGTTCTTTGAAGGAAGGAACTGAGCTGGTATGACAAAGATTCTTTGCTGGTGATACTTAAAAACTTTTCATCAACAAATTACGTGATGCATGCTTAGTGGTTTTGCAGCTAGCCCCAGACTGAGCAGGTGTCTTTAACAAACACTTTAATTTTAAAGAAAAGGAATTTAAAAGGACCCTGATAAACCAAACAGGCAGTTTGTTAGAATATGAGAAAATTTATTGGCATCATTTGCAAGGTCATTCACTGAGACTAAAAACCTACTTCACAAATAGAAGATGGGATTAATTGGAATCCACAAGTTTATTATGGACAAAGCTGATAAACTGGTACCTTAGCAATCCATGTAGAACCATCATTTAATCAGTGTAACATCTCTGTGTAAAAAGCCTTGGTTATGCTAAGATTCAAGAACAATCCTGCTGTTTAAATCATTATTAAGAGAACTGTTTTGTTTTGCATTTCCTGTTTTGTTTTAAAAGGATTTGTGGTAACTAAAGAGGATCCAGTCAAGAATGGCCTTAAATTATTAAACGAAAGAAATAAAGAATCCAGGGGTCAAAGGCCAATTAGTCTTATTTGTGTTAGCTCAGATATAAGGCCCAGAGATATATTAACAACACTGTTTACTGCCAGGAGGCTTTTTACCTTGAAACATGTAAAGTCCCACCATATTTTGTATGCGTCCATATATCCTCATTCAAAGTATTGAAGGCACTGGGGCTGCAACAGCAAATAAAATAGACAAGCCCCTCCCCCCACAGAGTTTACATCTGAGTGGAGAGACAAACAAAACACAATCTATCTCCTTTTTATCTTCATCTCTCCCTCAAGTACCTCCTGGATGGTCAATTACCAAGATGTCCAATCCATTGATCCTATCACTTTTTTCACTGCTCCACACCCTACTGCTGCTGTCACTTCTTTTTATCATACCCAGCTTAAACTCCACAGACAAACATTATAATTACTCTGTGGCACATAGGCTCAACTCCCTTATTGTCCTTCTTGCCTGGTAAAGCAAACATCCTAGGTTAAGTTCACTTGGGCATCTACTCATCATCTCACTTAGAATGAAAGCTCCATTAGAGCTGAGATTCTGTTTTTGTCCCTACACCCTAGCACAGGGTAGGCATTTAATATCTGAATGAATGAGTAAGCCATATGCCAAGTGGTAAGAAATGCAATTAAAAAAAAATAGAGTAACAGGACTAGAGTGAATGAGGGTAGACAGTGTGTCTCACTAGGGTGGGTTATCAGAAAAAGGCTCTACAAAGTGACATTTAAAGACTGAGAGGAAAGGAGAGAGTTGTATCCTACCAATGATTGCCTCCCCTCTCCCACATATTAATGTATTACTTAAAGGAACTGATTTTTTAAAATTGGATTGAATCATGGAAACATTCTTTGAGAATATGGAAATAATTTAATATTTTTCCCGTTTCCAGCTCTTCAGCTGTAACAGTGACTCAAAATCAATTACATTAAGATTAGTTTTTTTTTGTTTTGGTTTTTTTTTTTAAGTAACTTTGTTGCTTTAAATATAAGTGAAAATACTGTATTTACTTTTGTGTGCTTCCATCTGAACTAAAGTTTCCCATGGTGCTTACCGAGTTAGGTCTGGCTCTGGGAGAGGAGTGGACAGCAGCTGGTTGAGATACATCCCCATCTGGAGACAGGACTGCCACTGACAGAAGATGTGAGCTGTGTCTAAGTCCAGTCTTGTGCCCAGCCGTGTCTGCGCCTTCACTCTTTGGAACTCTGCATACAACATCTTAGCACCATCTTCCTGCAGCTCTTCCTTACCTAAATAAAGAAACAGCCCAAGGGCAGTATTTCTAAAAGCACTGTAACAGCTTTTCATTTTCTCCACATATACTACAAATTCTATAAAGAAAGAAATTAATTTAAAAAAACTAAGATGTTTTTCTCTTCTGGCTTCATAAATGCCTTGCTGTATAAATTGAAATATTGATACTGAACTGTCTTTTTAATGATGACCTAACTTTATTCAACCCATCGGAATTTACTTTTTCCCTGAAATAAGATCTTTTCCACTGGTCTACTACCTGACCATAAACATGTCTGCATTTGAATTCTCTAAACCCTAAATCTGTGTCTATGAAAAATACAAATGACTATTAAATATTATTCTCTTTACTGTTCTCTTTCACCGAAACTCCCAAGCTGTGGTGCATTTGTGTTAAAGAAACAACCTGTGTGTTCAAAACACATTTTGACCTCTGTGTTTTATAGGAGGAAGCTAAAGTATGACTTGGAGAATTTGGCAAATAATCATTTTCTTTTCATAGTAGAGGATAAGGGGCAAGAAGCAACAATCCTAGGAAATAAGGAATGTTGTGTGTTTTTAGCTGTAAGTTTCTACAGATTTGTTTGGGCAGGGGTGCACAAAATAACATCTGGACCAATTTGAAAATAATAAAAAGGAGGCCCACCTTTTACCAACTAGCGAGGAGCAAGACACTGAGCCTGCCTGGGTACAGGGTCCACATTTCCTAAAAGAAAAGAAACAGACCCTTGACATGCCCCTTCTCTTGGACTCAGGTAAAAACTTAATAGGCTTGTGCTCTGAGAGCTTTCTTATACTGTATTTATTATTCAATCAGAGGAAATACTCTAAACCTGTGTTCATAAAGCAGCAGTGGGACTTAACTGATTTGTTTTGTGTTAAGTTGGCTGTCATATAACAACAGTCCCTCTGACAGCTGTCAAGCTTGAGCCTTAATACTTTAGAAACAGGAATCCATGCTGTTTCATTCTTTTATCTAACTTATTAAAATAGTAAACTAGAGTAGCACGATCTAATAGAACTTTCTGCAGTGCTGTCCAATACAGTAGGCTAGCCTATAGCCATATGTAACTACCTGACACTTGAAGTGTGGCTAGTGTGACTGAAAAGCTGAATTTTTAATTTAAATGGAATTTAACTTTGGCCATGTGTGGCTAGTAGCCACCATATTAGATAGTACTATTCCAGAGTATAATTATTATGCATGTTTATACAGTGTTAGAGCATTCATAATCTTTAAAGAGGATATTCCACTGAAGTATTAAAGTGTCCCAGTGTTTCAGCATTTACTTCACCTGGTATTATATGCAGATGAACTTGCCTCAGTGTATTTAAGAGATATTACTGGCCGGGCGCGGTGGCTCATGCTTGTAATCCCAGCACTTTGGGAGGCTGAGGCGGGTGGATCACAAGGTCAGGAGTTCAAGACCAGCCTGGCCAAGATGGTGAAAACCCGTCTCTACTAAAAATACAAAAATTAGCTGGGCGCGGTGACAGGCACCTGTAATCCCAGCTACTCGGAAGGCTGAGGCAGAAGAATCACTGGAACCCAGGTGGCAGAGGCTGCAGTGAGCCAAGATTGCACCACTGCACTCCAGCCTAGGCAACAGAGTGAGACTCCATCTCAAAAAAAAAAAAAAAAAAAAAAAAAAAGGACAAATTACTATTTCTGCCATCACTACTTACATACTAATTGAAACCTACAGCAGAGAAAAAGGAATAAAAAGATGTATAAGCAAGAATGTAGTGGTTGTAGGTATTTAGATAAGTTTCACTTCTGGGCAAGTTTCTTGTGATGACGTTGCTGCTGTGCTAATAACTGGATAGGTAACATGGAATACAAAATGCAGCTGGCAAAATACACTGTCACAATTCACAAGTTAAAGGAGTAGGTGCCACCAAACAGATGGAAGTTGGCAGTACCCCAACACATCTCACTGCTGTATACTTAAGATTCAAGCCCTCCAGCACTGAGCCTGGCACATGAAGTGTTAAAAAATATTTACCAATGAATGAATGATATTTTGGTGCCTCCACATCTAAGTTGTGATACAATTAATGGGAGTAAATAATCCAAGAATACTTTTTTGTTTGTGTAAACTCGAGTAAACAGTTTGCAAGCAACATGCCACAATATACTCCTGTAATTTCCAGTTACCTACCAGGGCTGTTGATTATGGCAATCAAGGGCCCCACTAGCATTGTGAGCAGTAAGGATTGTAGATGATGTAGCTTTGCTTTGGTCTCGGTGTGCTGCAACCAGTAGCAACTGACAGCAATGGGCAACTTCAGTGAAGTAGGGATTGGCTCCAGAATGGTCTGTTTCACCTTCAGGGTTTCTAACAGAAGCATCTGCCGCCTCCTCAAGGAGAGCTGAAAATACACACCAAGTATCCTGCAAGTTACTTTGGGAAATGTCTGTTATTTCTTTTTTCCACCATAGCATGAAGAGATTTAATGCTACTGAAACTTCTGTCAGCTGTTAAACTTATCTTCTTGTGGGAAAAAAAATCAGCCACACTCACAGCATTTAGAACATTAATAAGATGCTTTATAAATATGGTTGGTTGAATGGGTGTACTGCCTACTCCTACACCTTTACTTATGTCATTCCATCCTCTTTGTATACGCTGGTGAGCATCTTCAGTGCACGTCACCTGGGAAGCTCATTAAAAATTCAATCCTTAGGCCCTACTCCATAAATTTTGATTGACTAATCTGAGAGAGAGCCCAGGAGGAATATACATTTTAACTAGCAGCCCAAGTATTCTACTTTGAGAAACAAAGCTGTATACTCAACACCACCTGTATGTGCCTGTGCAACAGGCATTTGCCTTCAGCATGATGCCATTACTAATTGCCTCCAGAAGACAAACGTTGCTTTTAGGAACCCTATGTGGCATATACTCTATTTGTTTGGGTCCTGTCTCATGTCCCTTCCCTGTTGAATGCTTTATTGTCTTTGCATAAAAGACACACAGGGATTGTCCCAGGGTGGCTGCTTGTAGATTAGAGGTATATTCAAGGGAGATAGGAATATTTTAAGGACTACTTGCATTGTGCTTGGAGTAACACGCCATACTTTTACTTCATGGTTTAGCGTGTACTTCAAATAAAAGCTCAGAAGTAAAACAGCTATAAGAGCACTGAGGTTCTTGTTGAAATAATTTTACCTTAATGAATTACCAAGACCTTGTAAGAACCAGAATGGGGACCTTACAGGTCATGCACTCAGGAATATTAAAAGGTCATCTTCTGGGGGACTTTATAATCAAACTTTAAGAAAAAGAAAAGTTGTATTCCTAGTGTCTGCACACAGCCAGAAAAAGATTTTCTGCTTTCTGGAAAGTTGAGATGGTAATAACATTTCTCAGCATGTAACATCTAGTTAGTAGAAAGAGTGGTTGACAGCTGAGACTAAAGATATTAACCTGAAACAAAACACATCATAAATGACAAAATAGTTTTATCATTAATGCATGAAAACTTTAAATAGTACGATTATTTCTAAATACTGCTTTTAATAATATTGTGATACAAATTTTAAAATTAGAAATATGCAAAGAACTTTATAGTATAACCAATTACCCCTACTGGAAGTAGTTTTAACTACTTAAATTTTAAGTAAAGTGGAAACTAAACTCTTAAACTGGTTTTTAAAATGCACTAAGTAGAGCTAAGAAAATACACCAACTCTTTTCTGATATATATTTAAATTACTGAATTATAGAGCCAAGTTACAACTTTTCATAAACAAAGCAGTCTGGGCTTTGACTTCAGAGATGTTCCGCTCTGCACTAACCCTATGGCTTTGGTCGAAAGGTTTCTGACCTTTTCTACAGTCTGTCTGACTTATCTGTAAAATGGTCATTATAATGACTTGTATAAGATGTTTCATCAAACCCACCAGTCCACAGTCCCTTCCAAAAGGGGAAGTACTCAACTCACAGCCCTTAACGTTAGTTAGGTTTTATCCCATGTGACAACTACTTTCCCTCTTCCCCAGGGGGAGCGAAAGCACAAGCCTGCAGAAGCAGCTGCCCCGAGAGGCAGAGATGCCCAGAGAGAGACTGGTCTTGGCTGCCTTACTCCTTAAGAATGATCCACTTTTGTGTCTCCTTATGATTAACCTCCCATTGGTTAACTTGAATGGTGCTCTGTCCATTGCAACTAACATAACCAAAATGAAACCCTATCCCATGTGGTTATTGTGGGAATTAAATGAGAGACTATAAAGTTTTTATTAACAACAGCTGGCCAAAGCAGATAATGTATTACAAGATCTAAAAAACAAAATGAATAGGTACTATCACAAGGTTTCTATACTTGTACTTGCATTTGTGTTTGGAATCACATGAGCACCTGGTACATTTATAATTTTCAGGGGCTAATTAGAACCATTAGCACTGAGCTAAATTCAGAATTGATAAGTTTATGCCAAGAGAAAGCTGGGTGATAGCAGAGCGCAGAGAATGAACTAAAATTTCACTCTATTTTGAATCCAGGTAAATGATGAGAACACTTAAGTCATCTCTACTTAGCAAGGAATATAAGCAGCCTGCTATACTCATGGATTCAGTTGGATTTCCATGTGGGGGGAAAAGGTATCCTGATCCCTATTTCACACCATACGCACCCACAAAAAACCAATTCTAGATACATTATAGATCTAAATGTGAACAGCAAAAAAACATTTTCATGACCGTGGAGTAGGCAGTTTCCTAAGCAGTTCACAAAAGTGGTAACCATAAATAATAAAAATTTAAATTAGAGTATATTAAGAACTTCTGTTCATCAAAACATACTAAAGAGTGAATAAACAATGGGAGAGACTATTCACAATATGTTATTTGACAAAGGACCCGTATATGATAAAAATGAGCAAAAAACTGTACAGAAACTTCATATAATAGAGTATCACATGGCTAATGAACACATGGAAATGGAAGATTGGAAAGAACCCAAATGCTCATAAGCTGTGTAATGAAAAAAAATGTTCTTAAGTGTATAATGGTAATATACCAAAATAGAAAAATGTTACAGCAATGAGAAATGAATGATCAACTACTCACAGCAATGTGAATGAATCTCATGTGGAATAAAAGCCAGATGAAAGAATTCATTTCTAAAGTAATAATTCAGTTAAAACTATTGTGTTGTTAAACAGGAGAGTGATTATAGAGAGTTGCAGAGCGAGTGACTGGAACCAGACACTAGGAGAAGCTTCTAGGGTGGCGATAATGATTCATCTGGATCTTCTTTGCATGGATGTATAGACCTTGCAAAAATTTATCATGCTGTACGATTATTTGGGCACTTTACTGTGTTTATACTCAAGGAAGCATGAATTGCAAAGGAACAAGATGAAACTTTAGGGGTTATGGATACATTGATTATTTTAATTGTAGGATGACTTCACAGATGTAGACATCTCAAAACTCATCAAAGTACACACTTTATGTGCACTTTACTGTACACTACTTATTTCTCAGTAAAGCCATTACATTTTTTTTAAAAAACTCCCCAACAGCACCATTTATGCTTGAGTAGAAATGTAATTTCAGCAAAACATTAATAATGTAGCTAGTTTGAATTTTATTGGTGTGGGTAAAGTTTTAATAAATCCCTTGTTTGAGACTGACTTACGCTCCACTTTCTAGTTTTGTACCCCTGGAAATGTGCTAAAGGTAGATTGTCAGTTGTGTTACCAAGCATTATAAAAATGACTTATAAAATTGCATCTAAGCTTAAACTATATATAAATGAACTATAAACACCTGATGGGGACACCATATCTTGGGGCTTCCCTGAGTGCAGTGTCTTGTAAGTAGGATGTCCCTTGCAGGGACCTAGCTATGTTTATGGAATTATTATAAGAAAGACTGGATCCTATAGGGAACGGGGCTTTTAAGCTACTGAAACCTTTTCTTCTCCTTTATCTAACTGAGGTATAATTCATATGTCATAAAAGTCATCCTTTTAAAGCATACAATTCAGTGGGTTTAGTGTATATATATTTTTAGAGACAGGGTTTTGCTCAACAGGGAGCACAATCATAGCTCACTACAGGCTTGACCTCCTGGGCTCGAGCAATCCTCCAACCTCAGCCTCTTGAGTAGCTGTACCACCATGCCTGGCAAAAAATTTTTTTTTTTTTTTTTAGTAGAGACAGTCTTGTTGTGTTGCCCAGGCTGGTCTTGAACTACTGGCCTCAAGTGATCCTCCCACTTTGGCCTTCCAAAGTGCTGGGCTTACAGGCATGAGCCATCTTGCCTTGGTTTAGTATATTTATAAACTTGTGCAGCCATCACTAATTCCAAAACATTTTCTTCACCCCCAACCAAAGAAACCCTGGGGGTTTAACAGTCACTCGCCAATGCCAAGAAGGCTCTTGGACTCACTGCCCAATGCCAAGAAGGCTCTTGCACTCATTCACTATGACATTCATCTCCTCCTGTCTGAGATGTGACTGAAGAGGAGGCTAAGAGGCTAGTTCCTGGTCAGCTGTATAGCCCAGGGAATGGCACTACTGATATTTTGGGCTAGAGATTCTTTGTTATGGGACACTTTCCTGTGCACTGTAAGACTTACAGGTTGTAAAATTTAGCAGCATCTTTGGCCTCTCCCCACTAGATACCGATAGCAACCACTACCCCTTCTACTCCCTAGGTAGGGACAACAAAAATGTCTCCAGGCATTGCCAGATGTCCTCTGGGGGACAAAATCACCAATGGTGATAAAGCTTTGGTGTAGACTGATAACAGTGCTGGGAGAACTCTGACAGAAAAGGAAGACCTGACTTAAATCCACTGGGAAGCTGTGGTTGCCGTCCTACATCCTTAAGTAGACTGGTGCCACGTGTGGTCTGTGAGTTTTGTGAGACTGAATATTTCATTGGATCTAAGAAGATCCCCTAATGGGCATTGCAATTGTTTTTTTTTTAAGTTATCTCTATTTAATGTCTAAATCTAGTTCTTTTATCAGCATAGTTTCATATCTATTTGTAATTTTAAATATATATGTAATATAAAAAGACAACACTGGGATCCATGAGAATTTTTTTCTCCTTGAAAAGGTGGTCTGGGTGTTACTCAGGTTTAAGCAACACTAAGTTAGACTAAGAGTCATGTTTTCTGTATCAAACTAGGCAAATAACCATAATGACACAAAAACCTATTTTAAAAAAGGTATTCATTAATAAAAGTTAAAAAATTAGACCTTAGCATCAGTACTAACCTTATCTGAAATCCGATGTAGTCTGAGATGTTGTGCCTATGATTAGTGTCTATACACTTTTTTTGCAGTTGTGAATTTTTTTCCTTTTTTTTTCAGCCACGTAACCCATTCTATTGATAGCTAGTATTAACCTGGTAGTAATAACAATATAGTAGTAATAACTGTGACGATAACACAGACTACTGAAGTACAGTGGAAATGGTAGATTTAGAGCTAAAAGAGCTAGGTTTGAGTCCTAGCACTGACACTTTCTGGCTAAGACATTACCTAGTTCACTCAAGTTCTAGATTTCTTAGCTACGACATGAGGGCAAGATAGCACTCAACCTCATCAGTTTGTTATAGTAAGTGAACTAATATAGAAGACAGCACTTTGTATCCTGTAAAGTACTTTACAAAAATTTCATTAGTATTACAAATACTTACCTCAGTCAATCTGCTTAAGTCAGAATGATCCTTGGCCAGTTCTACTGCATCAATGATTGAGGTTCTGATATTTTTATTAATCCTTTCCACTTCACTGAAAGCTAGAGGCTGAGGAGGCAATGCATTCCAGGATGTCTTGTCCAGATGTGGTGAGGCATTTAAAAGAAGCCCATAGATGATTTGCCTGATGGGCTGAGATATTCTGTGGGCATTTGGTTGCTGCATGTTTTCCACCTGTGTGGGAAGAATGGTCCGTCTTAGGACCAAAGCATCACTGATGAAAGGAGATA
The DNA here is from genome assembly GCF_000001405.40 of Homo sapiens. Classification (NCBI taxonomy): domain Eukaryota; kingdom Metazoa; phylum Chordata; class Mammalia; order Primates; family Hominidae; genus Homo; species Homo sapiens. The sequence continues at coordinate 131,024,295 of NC_000003.12, forward strand.
GCTGGCCTTTAGCTAAAGCCACTAATACCCATTCTGGTAAACCAAGATTCAAGGCATCTGGACAGACATAAGTACCACACTGGAAGAAGTCCTGTAGCTTCACCTGGGACTGTTGGTATTCTTCCATGGAACAGCAGAGAAGTTCCTTAACATTTTCTCGATCCTTTTTTGGGAGGTATTTCAGAACATTATCTAGTGCTTCGGTAGGGTTGGCAAAATGAGACAACCAATTCAGAAGTCCCAGGATTCGGTGGTGTCTCCTCCCTTTAGAACTGGTAGCTCCAAGAGGAAGACGCGCTTTACTTAAGAATGTCTCCATGATGGGTAGATTAACATGGTCATTTCCACATAGCACCGCAAAGAGAGGTAGTAGAGCTTTATTCATATTGCTGAAGTGATGGCAGAATGCATCAAGGGAAAAGCATTTGGCAGGGATATAGTTTTGTGTGCCCTTAATAGTGTTCATATTTCTCCACTGAAAGCTATTCAATGGGCAAAACCCAGTTTTCAGGTCAAAAATGCAAAAGTCACTATCTGATGATAACACAGGGCAATTCCAATGGTTAGCAAGTGTCATAATGTCCCGATCTGCTTCTGAAAAGCACTGGACAAAACACACCCGCAGCTTGATCAAAACCTGTATGAATACTTCCCGGATGAGTAAGGGACATACGTACCCACTCCCACCAACAGAAAGGGAATGGGCCATCTGGATCTTCTCTCTAGCTCTATCCTTTAAAGTTGTAAGCTTTTTATCTGAAATGTCACATCCTCCATCTAATACAACATATGGGCATATATTACAAGCAAACAGTGATTCAAAGAATTTTTGTACAACATCTGCAAAAGAATCATAGTCCCCTCCATACCGGAGATCCAAGTTTGAACTGAAGCAAAGACGGTGGAAAAGAGCATAACCATCAATGACAATTTTTGTGTCCCGCAACTTCAAATCAGTGAAGAACTCATTACTATGATCTTCCACAAAACTCATTAGTCCTCGGATACCCATGATGACAGTCTAAAGAATTAATCGCCTGTTTAAAACAACAGAAAACATTTTCAATTGATGCTAGTTATGGGGCACCAAGTCATTGCTTCCAGCACCATTAAATCAATAGCAAATGTTATGAAGTGCTCTTTAGATAGAACATAGATATCAACATCATAAATTCTTACCTAGATCCTCAAGCAATGTTAGCTGTGCTTTTTCATTCTCCTTTGCTTTCTGATACAAGGCACAAATTCAATGGTTTCATGGGTTGTAATCTTTGGATGGTGACAGAGGCTGCTGCTAATTCTAAAGAAAAATCAGTTGAAGTCCATTACTGACACACCAGTATAGAAGTTCTGTGAACTTTGATTCTTAAGTGGTAATAGTCAACATCTTACAGCACAGAGTATTTGTTTTGTGGGGTCAAAGTAAAAAGTCCTAAGCTAAAAAAAAGATATCATATTCATCTCATAATCACAAAGCATTTGGGCTTCAGTAAAGTAAGGTGTGTAGGACCTATGATAAGGATCAAGTTTTTCTTTTGTATTGACAATCAGTCACGGAACTTCTTTCAGGCTTTGGATTTGTGGGCCCTTCTTAATTGGCATAGTTTTTGGTATAAGGAAAACTGCTTCATGCCTCTAGGAACCCCTCTATCCAGTTACACCCCTAACCACGAGCTCTTTTCATCATCTTATTTTGCATATCTGGCCCAGCTACGCTTCCTCACCTGGCTAACTTAACTCGCAGGATCAGAATTGATGGTTTTTCTTTTGACACCTCGGGCTTCAATATGGCACAGCACGGTACTGTTACTATTACTTAAAATCGTGACATTTTGTCAGTCATGGATTTTTTTTGCTATAATTTTGATTTTTAGAGATTGCATTAAAACTTACCTTGATTACTGAATTTTATTGGCATCCATTTACATTTTACACTTATCTCACCCTAGTTCCAGCCCTGTCAGTATCTCAGAACCTTATCCTGTATAGTACTTATTTCTTTGCAAGATAGTTTTGTAAAGCGTCCATAAGCAGAGACTGTGTCAAGGCGTCCTACGCAAATTACAGGACCTTGCACAGACAGTTGCATAGAGCTGCATAGGGGAAAGGCGGGCAAAAGGTCTGACCTAAGTCTTCAAACACAGGCCTTCATACACCGTGCCACCTCGGCCCTCACAACCCGCCGCCCGGACCTGCAGCAGAGCCCACCTACTCTGTCCTCCCAGAGGAGTAGCTCCTCCATCAGAAGCCCGCTAGAGCCCAGCGAGGACTGGCTCCTGCACGTGAGAGTCCAATCTCAAGAGCGGGAATCGGAAGTCTCCCGGTGTGACGTCTCTGGGAAGTACAGTTCCGTGATGCCGGTGGCGCCAGACTGAGCCAAGGAGCAGGTGTTCTCGGGCCCAGAGGCGCTAAGTAGCTAAAGAGGGCTGGGACGTACGTTCCGAAATGGCTGCTGTCAGGCTAGGAAAGCTTGGCCCGCCGGTCCTCCTCTGCTTTCTCCGCCTACTTGGGTCGGCGAACACTTCCGCCTTGGTGCCGCCTCGCCCCGACTTCCCAGTATGCCCCGCGCCGTCTCCCTGGCCACGGTTCCAAACAGCCGTGGCCCGCGGTGTCTGGCGCTCGGTGGGTGTGGTTGCCCCTAGTTTGAGGCCTGCCCGATTACCCGCAAGACTTGGGCAGCCCCGGGCGCCGCTCCGACCACGACAGGGAAAGGTAAAGCGAACTGTCCTCCTTGGGGCTAGCCAGGCTCCCCTGCGAGGGGGAAGGTAATGGTTTCAAGCTGCCCGGGCTGGGTTCCGAATCTCTAGGACGCCATGGCTGCGATCTCCTCGCTTTCCTGGACATCTTACCTCCGGATGTACTCCAGTCTCAGTGCCCCTCAATAAACGTTAACCTGCTTTGCCAAAATGTAAATGTTTAAAAAGGTGAAGAAGCAAGGAATTGTTCGTTTTACCTTAAGGTTAAGATTTACTTTAAAGGTAGATTTGTGCTGTAGCAGAAACTGGTGACAAATTGCCTTCCTCTTATTACCTGGGAAGATAACTACTGGTTTTCAACTTGTGATAAATACTCCTTCCGTTGTCTTTTGCCCCCAGCCAGATCTGTTTCACCGAGAACGGGTAGTTTGCACAAGGTAGTAACTTTCTCCAAGTTCCCATCTAGCTTTCTTAACTAACCTTTTTTCTCTCCTTTGGGCGGCAGTTGATCTGCTGGACACTTACTTGCCTTAACAAGGTTTGTTAAACACCTAGTATATGCCAGGAGGTATGCCAGGGATTGGGGATGCAGAAATAAAGAAGATGTGTTCGCAGTGCCCAAGTTCACTCAAACCTCGAGGGGGAGCGTGTTGTCAAGTGAACAGATAGTTCTAGAATCTAGACAATGCGACACATTCTTGGGTAGGTTTATGGTTGCGCAGAGGAGACTAATGGAATGGATGACCTAAAAGTGGACTGGGATGGGGGTGGCAGGGCTGAGTCTGTGAGGGTGGGCGGGAGGGAACCTAGTCCCAGAGTCTTCTGCAGCCTGGACCAGACTACTTAAGCACTGCTGGGTTTAGACTGTCCTTTAAAATAAGAGCCGCTAGAAGTGAACTTCTCATTCTGTCCGTCCCTAATTCTGTCCTTCTCTAAAAGGAACCTTAATCTCATCTTTAAAATAAGGAGAATTACTGAGTGACCTGAAGGACCCTTTTCAGCTGGAAAGTCTGTAAGTCCATATATTTATTTGAACAGCTTAGTATGGCCAGACGGCATCACTTTTATGACAGTGAAGGGGAAGTAAAAACAAAAGGTATATTTAGAGGCCTGCTCTGTAGTTGTTTTTCCAGCAGATTTTACTAACGTGTCTTTGGAAGGGAAAAGAAAAAGCTGGTAACTAATCTCACTGGTATTAGGTACAACTTAACTGATTCATACATTTTAAGAAGGAAAATGTTGTAAATGGGCATTTACTTATGTTCTGTTTTGAGGATTTTTGTGGTTAATTGCCCTAGTAGTTTTTGTGGTTGACGGACACCACCACGTAAAGCCCATTGACCATCCTTAAAAACTAGGTTTTTGTCTCATAGCTTTGGAATTGTTGAATATGAAAACCTAACTTCAAGGTGTAGGCAGTTTTCAATTTAAAATGTTATTTCTATATAGATTTAAAACAAAAGCACACTTTTCTTGATAACTAACAAAACATTTAACATTCTGATGAAATAAAAGTGATTTTACTTTGTACCTACTCATATGAAACAGTCCTGCCTTTCTTTTTTTTGTTTTTGTTTTTGTTTTTGTTTTTGTTGAGATGGAGTCTTACTCTGTCGCCCAGGCTGGAGTGCAGTGGCGAGATCTCACTGCAAGCTCCGCCTCCTGGGTTCACGCTATTCTCCTGCCTCAGCCTCCCGAGTAGCTGGGACTGCAGGCGCCCGCTACAATGCCCGGCTAATTTTTTTGTATTAGACGGGGTTTCACCGTGTTAGCCAGGATGGTCTCGATCTCCTGACCTCGTGATCCGCCCGCCTTGGCCTCCCAAAGTGCTGGTACTACAGGCGTGAGCCACTGCGCCCGGCCTAAACAGTCCTGCCTTTCATAACTGCCACGTCTCATAGCTCCCTGAGGAATTACAGATTTATCTGTAGCATTTATATTCCACTGACATTAAATGGGATTTTAGGTTTGAATTGAATTTGTAACTCTTCCTGTTTTTAATCCAGAGAGATTATACACAATGTGTACAATAGGAACTTCAGAAACTAGAATTTGCTGAGCATGGGAAAAAATTCTCAATCCTTATCCTTCTTTGCATCTGTCCTAATAAATACAAAAACTGTGGTTTAACATCTACAGAAAAAAATAAATCTAAAGGAAACAGCACCTGCTAATTCCTTGTTTAATCCTAACTCACTCTTTGTAAACCAAAGTAAATATAAGGTGAGAAGAGGGCATTACAAAAAGGTTGATGCAGATGTATAGATTTAAGGAGGTGATAATGTTCTTGTATTTGGATTCTTTTATAAGTAGTTGGGGAGTATAAATCTTAAATAAATGAAGAGATTGCTCATTGTAAAACAGATGTACATCCCAGAAATTTGTGGAAAGTTGGCTATAATTCACTTCTGCCAAATTTCAATGTACAAAGGGAGGCTCTTCCTGTGAAAGATTGCCTTCTGGAATTTGTGGTATCTCTACCTTTTAACATTTTTTTTCAAGTTGTTAACCAATATGGTGTCAGTCTGCTGATCAAGGTGCAGATATCACTGCACTTAACACTTTTTGTTAGACATCGTTTAGCAACCTTTAGACCTGATCTTTTAACTTTTCATCTTTAAGGAACTGACCAACACTGGATGAATTTGACCATTTCTTAGGAGACTGGAATGTTAAGTTTCTATAAATGAATGAACCAGTTCTCTCTTGTTTGGAGCAATGCTGAAATTCCAAGAGGCAGCTAAGTGTGTGAGTGGATCAACAGCCATTTCCACTTATCCAAAGACCTTGATTGCAAGAAGATACGTGCTTCAACAAAAACTTGGCAGTGGAAGTTTTGGAACTGTCTATCTGGTTTCAGACAAGAAAGCCAAACGAGGAGAGGAATTGTAAGTAAAAATGCTTCCTATGAATCTTGAGTAGGCTGCTTTTTGTTTGCAGGTCTTAGCTGATTAGGAACATGGAGCAGGCCAGGTATGGTGGCTCATGCCTGTAATCCCAGCACTGTGGGTGGCCAAGGTTGGCAGATCACTTGAGGCGAGGAGTTCAAGACCAGCCTGGCCAACATGGCAAAACCCTGTCTCTACTAAAAATACAAAAATTAGCCAGGCAGGGTGGTACATGCCTGTGATCTCAGCTACTTGGAGGTTGAGGCACAAGAATTGCTTAAACCCAGGAGGTGGAGGTTGCAGTGAGCCGAGATCATGCCACTGCCCTCCAGCCTGGGCAACAGAGCAAGACTGACAAAAAAAAAAAAAGAACATGGAGTAATGTCCACTTTGCTCTTTATACCAAAGCAAGTATTTCATAAATATAGGTAAGCTCCCTAATTAATCTTTCATATTAGGTTTAAAGGCATTTCAGCAGGTGAATAAAGTATCCAAATGACCTAAAGAAGGGAGCTAGAAATGGGATAGATTATGTGAAAATAAGATGTTTGGGCATGCCACAGTCTCAGTGACAATATTACTTCCACTTAACTTGATTGGAACTTCTTGAATGAGAAAATAAGAATTGTTCATAATGACTATTTTTAGAAATGTTACAAAATGCAAATAAACAATTATTCACATTTGAGATGAATAGGGTATACCAAAGAAAGTAACAGTATTAATTTTCTTTGGGCTTTCCATGGCGAGGATTTTCAAATTCCGTAGTCAGAAAGCTGTCAGATTAAACACTTAAACCAAATGGACACTCCTATTTAAAATTAGCTTATGTTAATGACCCCCTTGTCACCTCGTCTCTTTTGATTATGATCGGACCCTCTACACTTTCATAGTAGAGAAAAACTCTTAATAGCTTCAGACAGTACCTCCCTTACAGATAAACCTCTAGTTTTTGTGTAAAGTTTTTTTAATTTGCTGCAGTGGAAAGTAAGTTGGAACTGAAGTTAGGGTAAGAAACTTGCCTATCAGAAACACAGGAGGAACAGAAAGCAGAAGGAAGAATGATCCAAGATATCAGCCCTTAACCCCAGAAGACCACATTTTCATCCCATAATATATTGTTTTCTTCTAAGGTTTTAAGGCTACTCTAAGTTCTTCCAGCTTTTGCCTATTGGATATTTAAGAGTGGATTTAAAATCAGTGTGATAAACACTTTTCTACATCTTCATAGGTCATAGGAATTGTAAAGGTAAATGTTAGTGATGTTACTACTTTGTTTTAAAACTCAATCTTTTAAATGGTCTCTGTCCAGAATTTTTAAAAGCTGTAATTATCTAGAATTTATAGTTTTTAGTCAATTTCTACATGAGGGATGATAAAAGAGCTGGCATTTTTCTGATGTCCTTAGAACATGCATTATGATTCCTGCTGAAAAGGATTTTTTCTCTTTAATCCTAGAGGTGCTCTTCTAGCCATTTAGAATAGAATGATAAATTTCTGACAATTATTAGATAACCTTTATGGAAACATTGAGAGTAAGACCTAAACCAGACCCAGTACTTCTAAAAACTACACTGTAGGATCATATCCAATTTTGGTTTCTTCAACTAATGAGGAATATGAAAAATTTTAAGATAATTCACAGGAGGACTAAAAAGTTAATTAAAAGGATGTAAAATAAGATGTATGAAGATCAAACTTGAAACCTTTAGACTTAAGATAATAAGTGAGTGGAGAGAGTGTGTTTGTAGTCAGCGGGGAAGAGAGAGAGAAAGAGAATGAGAGAGAAGAAAGGGGGCTGGGGCTGGTTGGTTGGCAAGTGATTTGTTAGTGATCTTTCTTGTACCTGAACCAATCTTAAAAAAACACATGACTGGAGCTGAAGATGGCAGACATGTTTGTGGAATGAATCCAGTGGTGAGGATAACGGACAAAAATCATTTGGCACCAGAAGGTCTAGTCCACAATCTCTGGGAAAGGAATCATTCATCATCAGAATCTAAAACATATTGCATACTGGCCACATGTGGCTTTCAGATGTCTTTTGTTTGGCCTGGGTAGTGTTTCTTTTTAGTAAATTAATCAGTTTTTTTTTTTTTTTGAGGCGGAGTCTCACTCTGTCTCCCAGGCTGAAGTGCAGTGGCACGATCTTGGCTCACTGCAACCTCCACCTCCCAGGTTCAAGTGATTCTCCCACCTCAGCCTCCCAAGTAGCTGGGATTACAGGCATGCACCACCACACCTGGCTAATTTTTGTATTTTTAGTAGAGACAGGGTTTCACCATGTTGGCCAGGCTGGTCTTGAACTCCTGACCTCAGGTGATCCTCTTGCCTTGGCCTCCCAAAGTGCTGAGATTACAGGCGTGAGCCATCGCGCCTGGCCAGTAGTCAGTATTTTTAAATGAGCAGCTCATATAAATTGAGCATTTCATCTTTTCTAGAAAAAAAAGATTTGGGAACGTTTGCTAACATCAGTTCCTGTGTAGCCACAATGGACTGCTAAAGCTAGGCAGCAGCTACTCCCTTAGACAAATTCCATATTCTCCAGTTAGCCACATTCCTACCTCTCCTTACTGTCTCTGGCATACAGCTGCATCACACCTTTCCACTACGTGCCGACCTTTGTAGACAATTGCTTTTGGAATTATTTGCTAAAATCAGAAAAAAGTATGAATGTGACTACTCACAAAATTCTAGAATGCTGTAATAGAAACAGAGCAGTATGGTGTCATTGTTAAAATCCCAGCTTTGGATGTGAACAAAAAGTAAAGCCAGGCCTGTTCTTAATGTGAAGTCTACATTCTGTACATTCCTAATCTGAGCTTTGGTTTTCTTATCTTTAAAATGAGTATAATACCTCATAGGATTGTAATAAGAATACGATATCTGCCTATTTATATAAGATTTAGATGTCACATTGCCTTGCTCATAATTATTCCTCAAAAACAGCACAGATTCACCTTAATTATAAACAATCCAAGTTAAAAGAATAATTAAAGGAAGCCTAAGAAAACTTTAGCTAATTACCACCCAATGACTGCAATTGGAAACTTCTAATAAATGGAAGGTTTTTCTGGATTACTTTTAAATGAGAAAAATTTCCCAAATAAACCAATCTGAAACCAGGCATGTAATTTAAAAAACTTATTCAAGATGTGTCTTGAGATTGTAACAATTCTGTTGTCATCTTTTATATCTCTGTGGCTGTCCAAAATAAATTGGTTCTCAGAATGTGAACCTTTTAGCTAAGATATCAATTCATCAGTGATTGTTATGTTTAATGCATATATGAGGCAGGAAACTAAACTCTTTTTTTTTTGTGTTGATACTGAACCATTAGTTTGTGAGCAAAGCACATTATTAGCACTACTCATTGTCCAAGCAATTTGACTAGATAAGGTTTTAAATTATGCTTTACATACTAGACCACAAACATAAGGAATTGGTTAATGTTAGAGGTGGCTAGAAGATGAATACTTTATACAGACTTCTATAATGGTATGAATGCTATTCCTTCAACACATCAGAATAGATATGACTTCCCTTTTTGTTTTGCAGATACACCCTTAACTTTTTGAGCTCATAAGGAAGGTATCAGACTATCCCTTGGTATCAGTGTTAAAGGAATGACAATAAGTTTGTAGGACTTATGACTAGTTTCTATGAAATACAGATTCATTATATACATTTCTATATTTAATCAAAGAACTTGACAAAATGGAACAGCTGTATGTACATAGTACTTAACTTTTCCGTCAAAGTATTGCAATTTATCATTATGCCACTTGGGGGCATCACTTTACCATTGACATTTTGCATACAGGGTGACCTTTAATTACAATGTAAATACCATATTCCTTTACATTTTTATTCACTTTCTGAATTAGCTGTGAGATTAAAATAAAACCTACAGTACAGACATTACACTTGCTTGATGCATGTTTGGAGAGTTTTCTTCCTGGCATAAATATTGGGCATCCCTTTTTTCATTATCACAGTAGAATAAAATTAAACTGTTAAAATGTATGGTGAATGAGATAGAGGTTTTTCCTTTATTATGCATCATGAAATTCATAAAACAATATTTGAGAATATTTTCTTTCATAATTATAGACACTCTAGTCTAATTATGTTGTCATAGTCCTAAAAAGATTGTGCTAGTTCTTATTCATTTTATTTTATAGTATTGTTAAATTGTCAAAGTATCTTTTCAAAAAATCAAACCCAAAAGATTTGATCAGCCCAGAAATTACTTTGGCCCTTAACATTAGCATAGTGCATGTAATTTAATAGAAAAGAGATATTAAGGAAATAGGTTTACCCTAAAATACATGATTAAACTTGTAATTAATCATGGCCACAGCTACAGTGAATTTCAACATTCATCTTATCAGCATAGAATGTTGGTTATAATGATTTTTAAAAAATTTATCACATTTAAGATATAGTGATCTTACTATGCAGAGTTGATTTTATGCTGTTGTCTGTTTTAGTCTGTCAACTATGAAGTATTTAATACAATTTAAATTTTTTTTTTTTGAGTCGGAGTCTCGATTTGTCACCCAGGCTGGAGTGCAGTGGCGCGATCTTGGCTCACTGCAAGCTCCGCCTCCCGGCTTCACGCCATTCTCCTGCCTCAGCCTCCCGAGTAGCTGGGACTACAGGCGCCCGCCACCACACCCGGCTAATTTTTTGTATTTTTAGTAGAGATGGGGTTTCACCGTGGTCTCGATCTCCTGACCTTGTGATCCACTTGCCTGGGCCTCCCAAAGTGCTGGGATTACAGGCGTGAGCCACCGCGCCCGGCCACAATTTAAATATTAGACCTTTGCTTTGGACTCAGCACGAGAGAGGAAACTGAAGCAGTAGGAGATAAGGCCTAGCCTTCAGGTGCTTCCAGTCCGGAAGACTATATCAACACACATAAAACAACTAGTATACAGTACAAGACAATGCTTAAGTATCTGTGTGGCAGGTTGCACTCGGAGATGTTGGAGTGGCTACTCCCTTTCCAACTCAATATTATCTTACTTGTTTCTGTGTACTATCTAACTTATGTGTATTTTCCCCTTGGTCCTATCCAAGTGCGTATCCAAATATTTTACCCCTTAACTGTGATCGTACACCTTGGTCTTTGTCTAAATATGGGAAAAATGGTAACAAGGAAATGCTTTATCTCTACAGAAGGCATTTTTTCCCCCTCTATCTCATATGTCTGCCTGAGATAAGGATCAGGAGTTAAATAGTAAAAGGCCTACAAGTCCTTAAAGAAATGGCCCTCAAGTCCAGGCTCTTGCCTCCTCAGAGAGCTCTTGGGTCTACATTAGAGTAGATTTTTAAAAGTCCTAGCAAGCTGATTTTCTACCCAGTTATGGAAACAAAATGGAAGATAGGGGGCCAAGAGTTGATGCTAGAATGAGTCATACTGACAACAGAGGGGAGTGGTCTTAGACCATAAGAGTAAGGGAGGTAGAAAGTAAGAAAAAGATAATTAAAAAACCCCAAAAGCCAAAAAAGTCTGGGTCCATTGTTGTAAAGCTCTCCATACTCCAGTTTCTACTTATAGAAATCTCAGACGTCCAGCCCTGTTCCAAAGTACTGTATTGAGACAGACTCACTAACTGGCATGGAGTCAAAAGGGCTCAGGGGTTCAGCCACCACCCTGGGGTCCAGGCCTCAGCTTTTCATATTCATACACCCAGAGATGGTCAGTCTTGGAGAGGAGCTTATATTAACTAAATCAAGACAAGATAGATCTATAAACCATGATTCCACTTCTTAATCTGGTTCCTAGGATGAACAGTACCTCCTCCTTTGTGCACCCTCCCACCATTTTCTGGTAGAAGTTCTGGAGAAGCTGTATATCTAATGAGAAGTGAAAATATAACCAAAATAAGCAGGTGGAATAATTGGGCAATTACTCGCTTAAACCAGGTAAAAGGTCTCTTCTAAGAACTTGACAAAATGGAACAGCTGTATGTACATTCTAAGTGGCTATTGTTGTGGGAGCCCTAAGACCCAGTGTTTATCTACTAAATAGCTCTGGATGCACCCCCATACAAATATTCATAGGGTACCTCCTTTCCCAATATTGAAAGTAATGTGTATACACTTTATAAAAAGTTCAGATGTGCATAAAGAAGCAGTAAAATAATCTATAATCCTGCCATCCAACCTGTGGTCTTTTCTGTATGCACTGACAAATATTCAGTCTTTTAACGAAACATGGCATTGGTCCTAGTCATTGCCTCTGAGAGGAGATAGGAAGAGAAGGAGACTTCACTTTTCACTGAACCCTTTCTGTGCATTTGGAATTTTGTATCATGTGCAAGACTGAAACAAAACAAAACCTATAAAATAAAGTGAAAAAACCCACATATTCATTCAACAAATACTGGTCACCGTTTACTGGTCATCTGGAGCTTGAGTCTGGTACAGTGATTCTTAACCTTGGCCAAACAGTGGAATCACAATATTTAGAAAGTACAGATGCTTGAGTCATACTCCAGTGAATTCTGTTTGGTCTGGGGTATGGCCAAGGATTTTTGAGAACTTCCAGGTGATTCATATGTGTCACTAGACTTGAAATATCTCAACTGGAGATAAAAACTCTACTTACATAATCATAAATAATTTTAGCTGCAATAACTTGTGAAAGAAAAATCTTGGTTCTTGTGAGGTACAATAAACTCATCTTTGCTTGCAGGATGGAAGGTTGGGTGAGGCAAGGCTTCCCTGAGAACTGTGAGCTGAAATCTGAAGAATTATTAAGAAGTAGCCAGTGGTTTTCACAATTTGTTGAGCATCAGAGTTGTCTGGAGAGCTTATTAAAACAGATTGCTTGGCTCCCCCCTACCCCAGAGGTTTCTGATTTAGCAGGTCTGGTAGGAGGGGCCTGACAATTTGCATTTCTAACAGCTGTTACTACATCTTAGAGGACTGCATTTTGAGGATCCTTGTACTAGGCAAAGGGATGGGAGAAGAGTTGCATTCAGTGTGAATGGCACTAAAATGGAATAGAGTTCAGTGTATATACAATCTCACATGCTTTTTTAAAGCAGGAAAATATAAGCATTTTCCCATGTTAGTAAATACTCTTTAAAAGCATCATTTTTAACACCTGCATAATAGTCTATGGCTTTCTTGTCATTTAACGGCCACTTGTTGGATATCTAGATTCTAGTGCCTTCTTTGAAGTAGAAGACTATTGTGCCTTTTAGCGTCCTCAGCGATTTGATGTGATGACTGGTTCAGCATTTTCTTCCTGTCAGTAGCATAACTGAAAAACTAAGGAATGCAAGCTTCGGTCACTGAGAAATGACAGGCATTCTGTGTCATTCAATGGAAGCATTTTTTGTGAGTTACAGCTACATTTGCACTGTAGTAATTAGATAAAAAGAACTTCATCCATTTTTTTTTTTTTTGAGACGGAGTCTTGCTCTGTTGCCAGGCTGGAGTGCAGTGGTGTGATCTCAGCTCACTGCAGCCTCCATCTCCCAGTTTCAAGCAATTCTCCTACCTCAGCCTCCTGCATAGCTGGGATTACAGGCACCCACCACCACGCCCAGCTAATTTTTGTATATTTAGTAGAGACAAGGTTTCACCATCTTGGCCAGGCTAGTCTCAAACTCTTAACCTCGTGGTCCACCTGCCTTGGTCTCCCAAAGTGCTGGGATTACAGGCGTGAGCCACCATGCCCAGCAGGAATAATAATTCTTACTAAAATGTGTGGGTTTTTGTAATATTAAAAATACACTTTCAATAATTCAGATTGTGACTGTAATTTCTGCCATTTAATAGCTGATCACCTTTAGCAAAGCTAATATTTATATATTGTACCTACTAATACCTATTTATGGATATTTCTGTCTGATTTATTTAATCATTTTAACATATCTTTACTTTCAATTTTGAGTCATTTTAAACAAAACATCAATAGATTTAATGAGTCCAACTTTGAACTCAATCTATGTATTCTTATTAAAGCTACTATTTCTATATTATGTCTAGGAGTTCTCTCCAGTGGTTATCTGTGATGGGATAGTGGGTTTATTGAGTGGGACGAGTTAATTTAATAGGATTCAGTGGTTTACGCCGTGGAGAGTTATGAAAACAATTTGGAAGAAACTAATGATTTCTTTCTATTTTGCCTTGCCAGACCTCAAAACACAGTTTCTTTCAGTTTCTCACAGTTAAAAAAAAAATCTTCCTGCTTATCTTTTAAGAGAAAGTATAACATGAAAGCATATTAAAATATTAAAAATTTTAATACTAAAATTAATATTAAAAACAGTTCAGATTCTCGGAATCTTGTGCTTAGGTTCCTCTAGGTAAATATAGAAAGAGTACATTTGAACTTGGACTTCACTTTGGGCTTTGTCAGTTCTCTGCACACAATAAGGTCAAGCCTCTGAGCTTCTGGCCATCTTATATTTAAAGTTTGGGAGATGGAATGGATAAGGAGAGAAGAAAATGCAAGGGCACATAGTTACTTTGATTAGTTTCAATCATGGTAATGAAGTCAATATTCTGAGATAAATGACTTTCCTAAGGCCGCTTTGCTGCATGTGTTAGCATAAAAGAATCCGTGTGCTTTCTATCTGGTTTTTAATATTTACAGATCAGAAATGACTAATAAAATATTAGAATGAGTAGGCTGCAGGGAAACCCTCAGTTTCTTTTTGGCTTAGGCAGGGGGCCAAAAAAGCCTCCTTTTAAGACTGAATTGCCAAGAAACATTTAGGAAGAAGACAACAGTTAGGAAGAAGGCAACAATACTCAAAAATTCTTCTTAAAAATAATTCTTTTTTCTTACATTACTGTTGTTTGAAAGAAAACAAAAGTGATGTATTTAAAATATTACAGCCGTATTAGTGTCAGCAGTAAAAGTATATTCAAATTACAATAGTATACTTGTTAGATTTTCAGACTTATTTAAATTTATCATTCCACTCTGTTCTTTCAATGTGTTGTTCTGGTGGATTTGTGAGTAGGGAAGCTAATGGTTTGGCTAACACTGAATGACATCCCATGAAATATGGAATAGCATTCTTCATTTAAATGTATGAGATAGGGGAATATCTAAGCTATTCTAGTAAATAATAGTAATAATAAATGTAATTGGATATGCTGATCCCTTTACATTGTCATTGTTGACTTCCTAAAATTTTTAAAGTGCAAGATTTTTGTGTTAAGCCTATTAAGTTATTGTATCTCATTTATTCAATAAATAAAGTATTTTAGGATGAGTGCAAAAAATGCAAGAGCAAAATTTGATGGGTGTAGTCTACCTTGTAGGTTTTTTTTCCTTCCCCTAAAAGGGCTTTTTTCATCGAGATGTTTTATAATAAAAAGTGAGCTGATTTTTAATAGAGTCCAGAGGAACCTCAATAACCAAATCCAGAATTCTTAATGGTTGATGAATATTAGAATATTCAGTCAGCTAACTTTAATTTCCTGACCCCAAAACAAGCACAACACCCTCAAGTATAATCTGTAACTAGCCCTTCTTGCTGTTGTTTCTACACAAGCAGCCTTTTGGGGAGAATATTTCCTCCAACAACTTTTGGTGCATCCGGCAGCCCAGCTCTCTTCCTGGCAGACAGCAGGCAGTTCCCTTTTACCATTGCTTACTTTAACTGGATCAGTTGAGGGAGGCATCTGTTTTACTCAGTCCTTTCCTTCTAAACCGATCTGGTTCCTTTTTGACGCATGAATGTCTCTCAAGAGTAATATAGGCAATTTTGGCCAGCACCCAACTTTATACCTATTTTGAACTGAAAATTTTAGTTGTGATATCATCCACCCTTAAGTAACTTGAAATGAGATATGTATATGACTTAAATTTAAAAGAAATGAGAAGGGGGAAAATTCTCAAGTTAAAATTAGTTTCTGGATCAATTTATTACTCTTCAACTGATTTTCCTGGGGAAAAAAGCTTAGTTGCCATAACATCCATGTTTAAATAGTGCACTTTGAGTGATGTGCATGACTTACAAGTCAACATGAGAGACAAGCAACCCTTATGTTAGTAATAGTTTCTTGGTCAGTTATTCCTAAGCTTGGTTTTTGGAAAGAGTAATTTGTAAATTTAATTAAGAGTAATTTGTACATCTATGTGGGAAATAAACATTGTTGGCACCAGAGTTCTAAAAGTAGTTTACTTCCACTAATTGTGCATTGTATAAATAATGTTATGTAGTATCAAAAATAAGCAGTTAATATTGTGTGACCTTTATTGCTTTAAAATACTGTGAAATTGAATTTCCATTCCGTAGTTTAACGAGAACACTTTTTATTTCTCAGATACTCTTATAAGCCCTAGTCCCTGCTACTCACGAATGAATAATTATGAACCTTTGACATGCTATAGAACATACTTATTAGTACAGTAGTGCTGTATTTATTTGGGTAGTTATATGAAAAAAAAAACACCCAAAGTTTTAGTTATTAAGAAAGCAAACACTAAGCCTGATGAAATGTGTGGGGGTGATGGATATGCTCATTATCATGATTGTAGAGATGGTGTCATGTTTCATGGGTATATACATATATCAAAATTTGGCAAATTATACACTTAAAATATGTGCAGTGTATTATGTCAATTGTACCTTAACAATTGTGTTTAGAAAAAGCAAAAACCCTGTACCATGATATATGAAAACCCTTAAGATTGTTAAACTGGCTGAATTTGCAGTTACTAATGATAATCATTATGAAACTTGATACTTTCAGCTGAGTGCTGCTTTTTAATCTTGGGTTCATACCAGCCAATTTTATTGTTTTTAGCTCAGAGAAAAATCATAGGCTTTGTTTTTGGTACCTTTATTGGGCAAGTGAAGAAGGAAGATCAAAATGTAGTTGATAATATTGTCCTACATACTAGGTTTCCAACTTTCTAAGAGTGGAAAATTTGGAACATTGAATTTCTGATTAGAATGTGTTTGGGTGTCAATTTTCTCAGTCTCTCCCACATGCAGCAGTCACTTAGCATTTTAATTAAAGTTTGGTTGATGTTTCCACTTCCCTATTAGTTTGAATTTTGAGAAACCCTTTAAAACCTAATCACTTAGCTATGGCTGCTTTCCTTCAGGGGAGATTCAAGGAAGATTTGTGGCCCCACAGCCCTTCATTTCCTCTCTTCTTTCTTTGCTTATGTCTTTCATCTCATAAGCCTCATACAAATGCATACACTGTGAGTTTGGGGATAATATCGGCCAATCCACTTTTTGCAATATTGGATTTGCTATTTGGTGATCAGCTGCTTTTAATTTATATTGCTATTTCAAAGACATTTTGGTGCAAAGATTATTGAGCTCTAATGAGTAGTTTCTATTATTTTTAGAATTGCTTTAGTAATCAAAATTACAGGAAGGATTAATGACAGATGTGAGTTGCAAGGCAGTTTAACATTACTTAAAAAATGAAACATTTGGGTGTTCCATATGAATTGGACCTGACACATATCTGAAATTGCATTTTAAGTAAGCTTTAAAGCAGTTGACTATTGAACTTGCAGGGAGTAAGTACATATTCAAAAGGTTTTGAAAACTGACAACAGTAGATAATTTCCCACAGATAAAGCTTATTTTGGCATTATTTTGCTAGCTCACATAACCATAAAAACTCTGTGTGTGTGTGTGTATGTGTATACATACGTAAATATATACTCACGTATATATATGTGTGTGTGTATGTGTGTGTTTAAGGTGTGTATATGTGTATGCATTTTTTAATTGGACAGTTTTTTAGTTCAACACTAGTTTCAGCAGCAAAAGTTGTGTTCAGCTGGTAATAATATCCCGTTCTGATGGATGAAGAGGCAAGGGCTCAATATTTCATAACTATACTTGGACATGAACTCAGTATTGAGTACTTGGAAGTACTCAGTGGAGACTTCTACTTTATAAAAATTCAAAAGGCGATTCCAGGGCAAGATGGCCGAATAAGAACAGCTCTGGTCTGCAGCTCCCAGCGAGATCAATGCAGAAGGTGGGTGATTTCTGCATTTCCAACTGAGGTACCTGGTTCATCTCATTGGGACTGGTTAGATGTGGGTACAGCCCACGGAGGGCGAGCAGAAGGAGGGTGGGGCGTCACCTCACCCCGGAAGTGCAAGGGGTTGGGGAGCTCCCTCCCCTAGCGAAGGGAAGCTGTGAGGGACTGTGCCATGAGGAACAGTGCATTCCAGCTCAGCCACTATACCTTTCCCACAGTCTTCACAGACCAGGAGATTCCATCAGGGGCCTACACCACAAGCGCCCTGGGTTTCAAGCACAAAACTGGGCAACCGTTTGGGCAGACACCCAGCTAGCTGCAGGTTTTTGTTTTTTGTTTTTTTTTTCCCTGTATCCCAGTGGTGCCTGGAATGC
This sequence comes from Homo sapiens, assembly GCF_000001405.40. NCBI lineage: Eukaryota > Metazoa > Chordata > Mammalia > Primates > Hominidae > Homo > Homo sapiens. The sequence goes on from NC_000003.12 coordinate 131,042,250, forward strand.
CAGCGAGACAGAACTGTTCACTCCCCTGGAAAGGGGGCTGAAGCCAGGGAGCCAAGAGGTCTTGCTCAGCGGATCCCATTCCCATGGAACCCAGCAAGCTAAGATCCACTGGCTTGAAATTCTCACAGCCAGCATGGCAGTCTGAGGTCGACCTGGGATGCTGTTGCTTGGTGGGGGGAGGGGTGTTCACCATTACTGAGGCTTGAGTAGGTGGTTTTCCCTTCACAGTATAAACAAAGCTGCCAGGAAGTTCAAACTGGGTGGAGCCTACTGCAGTGCCACAAAGCCGCTGTAGCCAGACTGTCTCTCTAGATTCCTCCTCTCTGGCAGGGCATCTCTGAAAGAAAGGCAGCAGCCTCAGTTAGGGGCTTATAGATAAAACTCCCATCTCCCTGGGACAGAGCACCTGGGGGAAGGGGCGGCTGTGGGTACAGCTTCAGCAGACTTAAACGTTCCTGCCTGCTGACTCTGAAGAGAGCAGCAGATTTCCCAGCACAGCACTCGAGCTCTGCTAAGGGACAGACTGCCTCCACAAGTGGGTCCCTGACCCCCGTGCCTCCTGATGGGGAGACACCTTCCAGCAGGGGTCGACAGGTACCTCACACGGGAGAGCTCTGGCTGGCATCTGGCAGGTGCCACTCTGGGATGAGGCTTCCAGAGGAAGGAACAGGCAGCAATCTTTGCTGTTCTGCAGCCTCTGCTGGTGATACCCAGGCAAACGGGGTTTGGAGTGGACCCCCAGAAAATACCAGCAGACCTGCAGAAGAGGGGCCTGACTGTTAGAAGGAAAACTAACAAACAGAAAGCAATAGCATCAACATCAACAAAAAGGATGACCACGCAAAAACTTCATCCAAAGGTCACCAACAGCAAAGAACAAAGGTAGGTAAATCCACGAAGATGAGGAAAAACCAGCGCAAAAAGGCTGAAAATTCCAAAAACCAGAATGCCACTTCTCCAAAGGATCACAACTCCTCGCCAGCAAGAGAACAAAACTGGATGGAGAATGAGTTTGACAAATTGACAGAAGTATGCTTCAGAAGGTGGATAATAATGAACTCCTCCGAGCTAAAGGAGCGTGTTCTAACCCAATGCAAAGAAGTTAGGAACCTTGATAAAAATTAGAGGAGTTGCTAACTAGAATAACCGGTTTAGATAAGAACACAAATGATGTGATGGAGCTGAAAAACAGCACAAGAACTTCATGAAGGAAGCATACACAAGTATCAATAGTCAAATCAATCAAGTGGAAGAAAGTATATCAGTGATTGAAGATCAACTTAATGAAATCAAGTGTGAAGACAAGATTAGAGAAAAAAGAATGAAAAGTAATGAACAAAGACTTCAAGAAATATGGGACTATGTGAACAGACCAAATCTACATTTGATTGGTGTACCTGTAAGGGACGGGGAGAATGGAACCAAGTTGGAAAACACTCATCAGGATATTATCCGGGAGAACTTCCCCAACCTAGCAAGACAGGCCAACATTCAAATTCAGGAAATACAGAGAACACTGCAAAGATACTCCTCAAGAAGACCAACCCCAAGACACATAATCGTCAGATTCACCAAGGTTGAAATGAAGGAAAAAATGTGAAGGGCAGCCAGAGAGAAAGGTTGGTTTACCCACAAAGGGAAGCCTATCAGACTAACAACAGACCTCTCTGCAGAAACCCTACATGCCAGAAGAGAGTGGGGGCCAATATTCAACATTCTTAAAGGAAAGAATTTTCAACCCAGAATTCCATATCCAGCCAAACTAAGCTTCAAAAATGAAGGAGAAATGAAACCCTTTACAGACAAGCAAATACTGAGGATTTTGCCTTACAAGAGGTCCTGAAGGAAGCACTAAATATGGAAAGGAGAAACCGGTACCAGCCACTGCAAAAACAAACCAAAATGTAAAGACCATCAACACTATGGAGAAACTGCATCAACAAATGGACAAAATAACCAGCTAGCATCATAATGATAGGATCAAATTCACACATAACAATATTAACCTCAAATGTAAATGGGCTAAATGCCCCAATTAAAAGGCACAGACTGGCAAATTGGATAGAGTCAAGACCCATTGGTGTGCTGTATTCAGGAGACCCATCTCACGTGCAAAGACAAACATAGGCTCAAAACAAAGGATGGAGGACTATTTACCAAGCAAATGGAAAGCAAAAAAAAAAAAAAAAAAAAAGGTGGGGGGGGGGGTTGGAATCCTAGTCTCTAGTCTCTGATAAAACAGACTTTAAACCAACAAAGATTAGAAGAGACAAAGAGGGGCATTACATAATGTAAAGGGATCAATGCAACGAGAAGAGCCAACTATCCTAGGTATATATGCACCCAATACAGGAGCACCCAGATTCATAAAGCAAGTTCTTAGAGACCTACCAAGGGACTTAGACTCCCACACAATAATTGTGGGAGACTTTGATGCCCCACTGTCAATATTAGACAGATCAACAAGACAGAAAATTAACAGGGATATTCAGGACTTGAACTCAGCTCTGGACCAAGCAGACCTGATAGACATCTACAGAACTCTTCACCCCAAATCAACAGAATATACATTTTTCTCAGCACCGCATAGCACTTATTCTAAAATCGACCACATAATTGGAAGTAAAACACTCCTCAGCAAATGCAAAAGATCAGAAATCATAACAAACCCTCTCTTAGACCGCAGTGCAATCAAATTAGAACTCAGGATTAAGAAACTCACTCAAAACTGCCCAATTACGTGGAAACTGAACAACCTGCTCCTGAATGACTACTGGGTAAATAAGAAAATTAAGGCAGAAATAAGTTCTTTGAAATGAAGGAGAGCAAAGACACAGCATACCAGAATCTCTGGGACACAGCTAGGGCAGTGTTTAGAGGGAAATTTATAGCACTAAATGCCCACAGGAGAAAATGGGAAAGATCTAAAATCAACAATTGTCTATTTGTGCCCTTTTAGACTTTTTGATGTGAGCAAGAAAGACCTAAAATCGACAATTGTCTATTTGTGCCCTTTTAGACTTTTTGATTTGGGCATTTAAGTCTATGAATTTTCCTCTTACCACTGCCTTTGTGGTATCCCAGAGGTTTTGATAGGTTTTGTCACTATTATACTTCAAATAATTTTTAAATTTCCATCTTGATTTTATTGTTCACCCAACACTCATTCAGGAGCAGGTTATTTAATTTCAATGTATTTCCATGGTTTTGAGAGTTCCTTTTGGAGTGGATTTTCAGTTTTATTCCACTTTGATCTGAGAGAATACTTGATATAATTTCAATTTTCTTCAATTTATTGAGACCTGTTTTATGGCTTATCATATGGTCTGTCTTGGAGAATGAATGTTACACGTGCTGATGCATAGAATGTATATTCTATAGTTGCTGGTTAGTATGTCCTGTGGCTTTATTAACTTTTTATCTTGCTGACCTGTCTATTGCTGTCAGTGGAGTGTTGAAGTCCCCCACTATTATTGTGTTGCTGTCTATCTCATTTCTTAGGTCTAGTAGTAATTGTTTTGTAAATTTGGGAGCTCCAGTGTTGGGTGCATGTATGTTTAGGATTGTGATATTTTCCTTTTGGACAAGTTTTTTTTATCATTGTATAATGTCCCTCTTTGTCCTTTTTAACTGCTGTTGTTTTAAAGTTTGTTTTGTCTGATATAAGAATAGCTACTCCTCCTTGCTTTTGGTGCCCATTTGCATGGAATATCTTTTTCCACCCCTTTACCTTAAGTTTACATGAGTTCTTATGCATTAGGTGAGTCTCCTGAGAACAGCAGATGGTTGGTTGGTGAATTCTTTTTCATTCTGCCATTCTGTGTCTTTTAAGTGGAGCATTTATGTTATTTACATTCAACATTAATATTGAGATACATGCTATTCTATTCCTTATGCGGTTTGTTGCCTGAATACCTTTTTATTTTTTCATTGTTTTTGTTTTATCGGTCCTGTGAGATTTATGCTTTAAGGAGGTTCTATTTTGGTGTATTGCGAAAATGTGTTTTCAAGATATAGAACTCCTTTTAGCAGTTCTTACAGTGCTGGCTTGGTAGTGGTGAATTCTCTCAGTATTTGTTTGTCTGAAAAAGACTGTATCTTTTTTTCACTTATGAAGCTTAGTTTCACTGAATACAAAATTCCTGGCTGATAATTATTTTCTTTTAGGAGGCTAAAGATAGGGTCCCAGTCCCTTCTAGTAGGGTGTCTGCTGAGAAATCTGCTGTTAATATGATAGGTTTTCCTTTATAGGTTACTTGATGCTTTTGCCTCACAGCTCTTTTTTTCCCCTTAATCAGAATATGTATCTGGTTTCCAATAAAGTGATTCTTTTTTTTTTTTCTTAATTATACTTTAAGTTCTAGGGTACATGTGCACAACGTGCAGGTTTGTTACATAAGTATACATTTGCCATGTTGGTTTGCTGCACCTATCAACTCCTCATTTACATTAGGTATTTCTCACAGCTCTTAAGATAGTTTCATTCATCTTGACTTGAGACAGCCTGATGAGTGTGTGCCTAGGCGATGATCTTTTTGCAATGAATTACCTAGGTGTTCTTTGAGCTTCTCGTATTTGGATGCCTAGATCTCTAGCAAGGCCAGGTAAGTTTTCCTTGATTATTCTCTCAAGTATGTTTTCCAAACTTGTAGATTTCTCTTCTTTCTTGGAAATACCAGTTATTCTTTGGTTTGGTTGTTTAGCATAATCTCAAACCTCTTGGAGGCTTTTTAAAAAAATTATTTTTTCTTTGTCTTTTTCAGATTAGATTAATTGGAAAGTCTTGTTTTCAAGGTCTGAAGTTTTTTCTTCTACTTGTCGATTCTATTGCTGAGACTTTTCAGTGCATTTTGCATTTCTCTAAGTGTGTCCATTTCCAGAAGTATCACTTTATTATGTATTCTATTTCACCGAAGTTTTTTCTTTTCATATCTTGTATCATTTTTTGATTTCATTAAGTTAGACTTCACCTTTCTCTGATGCCTTCTCGATTAGCTAATAATTGACCTCCTGAATTCTTTTTCTGGCAATTCAGAGATTTCTTCTTGGTTCGGATCTGTTGCTGGTGAGTTAGTGTGATCTTTTGGGGGTGTTCACTTTGTTTTTTCGTATTACCAGGATTGTTTTTCTGGTGCCTTCTCCTTTGAGTAGACTACATCAGAGAAATGATCTGGGGCTCAAGGACTGCTGTTTAGATTCTTTTGTCTCATGAGGGTGCTCCCTTGATGTGGTGCTCTCCCCTTTCCCTTAGGGATGTGGTTTCCTGAGAGCTGACCTGCAGTGGTTGTTATTTCTCTTCTGGATCTAACCACCCAGCAGAGCTACTGGGCTCTGGACTGCTAGTGGGGAGTGTCTGCACAGCATCCTGTGATGTGAACCATCTTCAGTCTCTCAGCCCTGGATCCCAGCACCTGCTCCAGTGGAGGTGGCAGGGGAGTGAAGTGGACTCTGCGAGGGTCCTTGGTTGTAGTTTTGTTTATTGTACTAGTTTTGTGTTGGTTGGCCTCCAGCCAGAAGGTGGCGCTTTCAAGAGAGCATCAGCTGTGGTAGTATAGGAAGGATCAGGTGGTAGGTGGGACCATAGAGCTCCCAGGAGAATATGTCCTTTGTCTTCAGCTACCAGAGCAGGTAGAGAAAGACCATTAGGTTGGGGCAAGGTTAGGTGTGTCTGAGCTCAGACTCTTCTTGGGTGGGGCTTGCTGTGGCTGCTGTGGGGTATGTGGGTGTGGTTCTCAGGCCAGTGGGATTATGTTTCCAGGGGTATTATGGCTGCCTCTGCTGCATCATGCAGGTCACCAGGGAAGTGGGAGAAAACTGGCAGTTACAGGCCTCATGCAGCTCCCACGTATCCCAAAAGGCCAGTGTTACTCCTACCGTGCCCTCTCAATAGCACTGAGTTTATTTCCAGGCAGCGGGTGAACAGAGCTGGGAACTTTCCCCAGGCCACCAGCCTCCCCGCTGAGAAAGCATGCAGGACTTTCAGGTTCTGTGTTTCCCCACCTGCCGCAGCTTCTGTGCTGTGTCTGCACTCCCTATTCGCCCCCTCCCCCAGGTTCTGTCCAGGAAACTGCGTTTGGTCAAAATGGTTACAAAGTTCAGCTGGAAGTTTCCTTCTCCCTGTGGTCTTTTCCCAGTTCCTCTGGCAGCCCTCTCCAAGGACCCCTGTGAGACAAAGTCAGAAACGGCTTCGCTGGGGACCAAGAGTGCCCACAGGGCTCTTCCTGCTGCTGCTTCTACACCTGTATTTCACTTGGCTCTCTAAATTTGTCTCAGCTCCAGGTAAGGTCAGATCCTTCTGTGATCTGGACCTTCAGGTTCCCCAGTGAGGGTGTGTGTTTGGGGGCAGATGATCCCTCTTTCACACTTTGGGCACTCAGAGTGTTTTGGCTGTCTCCAGGTGCCTGCAGCAGCAATCCGCTTCCTTCAAAGGATCTGTGGATCCTCTCGCTTTCCTGGTATGTTCCTGTGGTAGTTCTTGGAGCAAAAGTTCTCTGTATGAGTCTTCACACGCTGCTCTGTCTGTCTGAGTGGGAGCTGCAAGTTAGTCCTGCCTCCTATCCACCATTTCTTTTTCTAGTGTCCTGGCTAGTAATTTCTGAGTGGAATGATGCATCATTTACATGTCACTTCAGCCTAAGGAGTAGAGCCCTCCTGACCTTGGAGCTTCTCTTCTGAGCTCTTGCATTGAGACGCTGGCACCTGTGTACAGAAGCACTGTAAGGAGGATAGCTGCCTGCTGACTTGCTCCGCCTACGGAAGACTTGGTGTCCATTTTGACTTCGCGAACCTAAGGCTTGAACTAGTATAGCCTTTTCTAATTAATAGTACATACAATAACAATGATTGCTTTTTGGTTGTAGTTAGCTAAAAGTTTCGTTAGTTTAGTATTTTGGTTCTAAAACACATTTTAAATTTTCTCTGGTTATACATTCCATGTAGATTAAAGGCATAAATCCATGTAGAATAACAAATGGACCTCATGGTATGGACTCAGCATGATTATGTTCTATGTAGAATCTAGAGACGAATTTAGAGACCCAATTTCAGATACATAATTTCTGTGCAGTTTTTGTACCAATTAGCAAAGAGATGATTGACGGTTGCTAGTCCTGTGAAACAGCAGTAGTTACGCAGTATATGTCCTAGTGGTATGGAGTTTAAGAATGAAAATTTTATCCTAAGACTTAGCCCACTTGTATCGTCACTCTATACGTCATTTATTTTGGGACTCTTCTTGCTTTTAGATGACAATTTACAAAATTATTTGTCATTTCTTTAATTGGTATTTGTACTTATGTCCCACAAACGGCTTAATTTGTGTGTCCATCAGTGGCATGTTAAGCCCACTTTAGCCCATATATGTTACTCAGTGTTGTCAAACGTGTATTTTCTACTAAACGGTATCTATTTCAAGAGTTTGTCAGATAAACTATGCAGAACCAAGATGTCAGTTTTGTGTTTTTATTTCCTATATTGCCTCATTTATAACAATAATATATGATCCTCCAAATTTGCCAGATATTGTTCAAACTGCATTTTCTAAAAGTAGAGATCTTCTGAGGATTTTTTTGTTTTTTAAACTATATATCTATGAATACTTTTAACTACATGTTATAAATAACAAAAACAATTTAAAAAAAGTTGTTGCTTGTGACAACACTAACGTCAAGGAAATTTTGTTTAGATTGGGAAAATAAAACAGGTGTTTCAGTCCAAAAAAAAAAAAAAATCAAAAGGCATTAATATGGCCCCTATTGAAAAGCCCACACTGAGAGGCACTAACTACCCATGCCTTTGCAGTGTGAGGTTAATGGGGGGGTGTCCCCTCAGCAGCTGCCTCAAGCTCCTGCTTTGCCATTAACCAGACTCACTCCAGGATTCCTTGGAAACTGTGTGCCTACCTGAATAATTTATTACCTAGTGATCAATTATTCATAATTCTTTATTACAACGAAATAAAACCTAAAGGTGGAATCATTTTGCCACTTATGAATATCCAACAGATCATCAGGAGATTGCAGTAGAGTTTTAAGCCCTTGCGGTCCCCACTGCCTGTTTGTTTCTCTGAAGGGATTCCACAGAGAACAGCCTTCTGAGACAGGATCAGAATCAAAGAAAGCAGTAACAAATGACTCCCTGCTGGTCGTGCTGCACGGTTCATCTATTCATGCTGTTTGTCTTTTTAATTCTGGCCTCATTTATACCTAGAAATAAAATTTCAATTTGAAAGAATGTAGGAGACTTTTATGACACCGTTGGTTTATTAAATCATTCTTAGGAGGTAGACAAGGACATAAAACTTACACCTAGAGTATCTTCTGGAATAAAATGCAGGAACCTTTAGTACATTTTATTGACACTAATCATATTGCATTTGCTTGTTTCATCAGTTATATCTGAGTTATATTTTATTTATTTATTAGACCATATAAAAATGCCATATATTTTCCACATATATAGAAAGCATTTTAGTAAAAGTTCTCTGAAAGTATAGTAAGGCCAGGCATGGTGGCTCATGCCTGTAATCCCAACACTTTGGGAGGCTGAGGCAGGAGGATCGCTTGAACCCAGGAATTCCAGACCAGACTGGGCAACATTGGGAGACTCTGTCTTTACAAATAGTAATAAATAGTGGGCATGGTGGCGCATGCCTGCAGTCTGTCCCAGCTACTCGGAAGGCTGAGGTGGGAGGATTGCCTTAGCACCTGAGGTGGTCAAGGCTGCAGTGAACTAGAATTGCACCACAGCATCCCATCCTAGGCGACAGAGTGAGACCCTGCCTCCAAAAAAAATTAGTATAACCAAATGAAGCCTACTTCTTTAAAATTTGGGAAATGTAGTGGAAAATTGTTTAGCTTAAGCCAGACTACTTAATTTTAAAAATAATCAACAAGTTTTAAAAAATATTTTGAAAATACTTGGAGAGTTTTAATTCCAGTTACGTTAGATTATAAAGCAGAAGGTTTGCCTTTGAGGTTTCTTGCCTCCCAACCAGTTGGCTTTCCGTTGGACACTCTGGCACTGAGGAGTGCACATAACTCTGTGACACTCCACATTTTGGGTTGTCATTTCAGTGTTGTGGCATTTTCTCCGTAGTTACTTCCAAAATAAGTTAGTACTAATTTTGAGCATGAGTCCTGGGACCCTGGGGTTAATATTTGCCAGGTCTAAAATACCCCGGCCTGTAGATAAAAATCCCAAACTGTCAAACAAGTACTTTTTAGTGGAGATTCCAGATCATTTTTTGTATTGATGTTGGTTTACCAAATGGAATGAAGGCTAAATGTTTAAGCAACTTTTAAATGGCCTAAACCCATACCTTTCACACAAGACCCTACATATCTCAGATAACCTACCAATCAGAGTTTAAATATGGATTTAGTTGTACTGTTGTGAAAATATGTGGGTAATTTTTAAAACCTTTAAAAATATATATTAAGAAAATTTTTTTTTGATACAGGGTTTCAATGTTGTCCAGTCTGGTCTCAAACTCCTGGTCTCAGACTCCTGGTTTCAACTGATCCTCCCTCCTCAGCCTCCAGAGTAGTTATGCCCTGCTTCTTAAACTCTTAAGACAAATTTGAATATGTCATGGAGTAGAGTAAAACATTTGCATGATTTTTGACTTTATAATATAATTTTTGATAGGTTACACATTCACATGGCTCAAAAAACATCAAAAGATCAAGTTTCGAGTTTCTCCTCATCCTTCTCTCCCCTTTTTTGAGTTCTCATCCTCTTCCCCAAAAGGTAACCACTGTTAAGAGTTTCTTCTGGATCCTTTTAGAATTGCTTTATGCACACATTAGCAACTTAAGAATACAGAGTCTTATTTTTCCCCTTTCTGATAAAAGCTAGCATATTATACACTTCTGGTTTTTTTTGTTTTTTTTTTTTTTGCTTTTTTCATATGACACAATATCTTGGAGATATTTCCATGTTAGTGTGTAGAACATTTCCCCATTCTTTTTTTTTTAAACAGCTCAATAGCATGTTCCATGGTGTGGTTGTAGTATAATTTATTTAACCATTTTCCTGTTCATGCGCATTTGAGTTATATTAAATCTTTTCTTATTAAAAATATCACTGCAGTGGATAACCCTGAACATTTGTCATTTCACAAACATGCCACTATTTCTTGCATGAATTTTTAAGATAAAACATAACATTTCAGAAATGTGCTGTTTTTAGCAGTCTCATTCCAGGGGTTTGAATTTATCCTTCTTTACTATCAGGGGTGTTTTGCTGGCAACATTTGAGAAGTTCTGCCATAAACTTGTTATTAAGGCCTAGTGGTAGGATGATTTTTCACTTTCAGAAATAACTGCTGTGAAGTGATAGTGACAACAGTGTTACCTTGCCACCGTATGTCTCTCGAAGGTAGTATAAGAAAACTGTAAACCTGGTGGCAAATTATTTATGAGCAGAAATTATGTTGTAAAATTGTCTAGTTTTCTTGTTGGCATTTGATAGAATGAAACACTTGCAGCTATGAGTTTTTGGAATAGGCCCAGTACCCTCTGACCTAAAGCCCTACAGCACCAAACTCTGATGTCTTGAAAAATATTAATAGGTGGTTTACCTAAAAAGATTTCCATGATTATACAAGCTTGGAAAACACTGGGTTCCACAACATTGAACCAGTTTCTTTACTGAAGAACTCTTCAGATCCTTAAATTTGCTGGGGTAAATTGTAACTTTTTAAGCCTGGATGTAGCAAGCAGCATTTCCAAAACAAGTTTGACTACTGAACTCCTCTTTCCCGCCCCCCGGGACACTCTTATTAGCATTAATGTACCAAGGAGCCCTAATTGGGAAATACTACCCATGTTGGATACCATGGGCCCCATATTCAAATTAGTGGTCACAAGCATATGTGATATTTACATTTACAAAAGATTCACTGAGGGAAATAAGAATAAAAGTCATTATTTAAAAATTGACCATTATGAACAGTAGATGGTGGTAATGTAACATGCAGACCAACTATTAAGACATGTCAACATTTCCAATGGCAGCATTAATTCAAGGTCGAAAATGTCTTAATTTAATTACAGTCTACCAGTACTTTTAATTTCACCGGCTAAATTAATAAAAGGCTAAACATAGGTATTTAACAAACTTTTAATTTCTCCCTAGGAAAAGCAGAAATTGGCTGAGAAATAAATCTGAAGAAATCTTTTTATCTTCACAGACCATTGTAACTGGCATGAGCCAGATCTGGTTTTTCTTGCCATCCATGTATTAGATTGATGTTTCCTAGCTTGTGTGTACACAAAGGTATATGTGTATTCTTTCTTTTTTAAAAGAAAAAGGCATCAATTTAACCAAACTTAACTCTCCAGTGTCCATGAGAATGGCAAAGAGCAGTTTCAGTCTGAAGCATCTGAAGCAGCCACCGCCTTTGTACTCCAGGAACTGACATTTGGGCTGAAAATAGGATGTGAATGCCAATAGCTCTATTAGAAGGGCCAATGGGATGAGAGATCAGGGTCTCTTAGAAGTTGAGAGGGATCTGAGCCACTTCCATTCTTTTGAAGTCTATTTAACTATAAGACTGTGTAACACAGGACAACAAAAATGGGATATGCTTTAAATATTTACATTTGACAAAAAATTAACATACCAAAATTCAATACAATGTGACTACACAACTGACAAGATTATTATAAATTTTAATTCCTAGTGTATTAGACTTGGGGTGGCCCAGAAATGGGACACACATTTAAAGTTGTGGTGAACATCTTTCCAAGCTGCCAGTGTGTCTTAGGGACAGAGGGTGTAACCCGGTTTAGAGCTCTTATTAAGAGTCAACATTTGGCCAGGCAGGGTGGCTCATGCCTGTAATCCCAGCACTTTGGGAGGCCAAGGCTGGTGGATCGGTTGAATCCAGGGGTTTGAGACCAGCCTGGGCAACATGGCAAAACCCCATCTCTACAAAATATACAAAAATTAGCCGGGTGTGGTCCCAGCTACTCTGGGGGCTGAGTTGGGAGGATTAAGCTTAGGAGGCAGAGGTTGCAGTGAGCTGAGCTCATGCCATTCTGGCCTGGGTGACAGAACCAGACCTTGTCTCAAAGAAAAAAAAAAAGTCAACATTTGAAGCCCCTCATAAATCTGCAGGCCTGAGAAAAAGAGACATGGGTCCTGATGCAGATGATAAATCTAGAGGAACTGCAGGGAGTGGAGGTTCTTCCGTGAAGGATATCTCAACTTACCTGATGGAGGGGAACTATGGCTCATATCTGCAATCCCAACATTTTGGGAGGCTGAGGTGGGTGGATCGCTTGAGCCCAGGAGGTGGAGAGCAGCCTGGCCATTATGGTGAAACCCTGTCTTTACGAAAAAAATAAAAAAATTAGCCAGGCATGGTGGCACATGCCTGTAGTCCCAGCTGCTTGGGAGGCTGAGGTGGGAGGATTGTTTGAGCCTGGGATGCAGAGGTTGCAGTGAGCCTAGATTGCGCCATTGCACTCCAGCCTGGGTGACAGCCTGCCTCTAAATAAATAAATAAATAAATAAATAAATAAATAAATAAATAAATGAATGAATGTACCCGGTAGATATGGAATTGCTGAAGATGGCTAAGGGAGGGGTTTTATCATTTAGGTTGATGGTTGTACCTTAGTTGGTGAAACCAAGGCTTGAAATTACCCTTCTAAGGTACAGTTGGGCAGTTTTTTCACCCTGCTTTTTCCTTTTTTCTGATCCAAGGGCGAGCTTGCTTCACCTTTCTTTCCAGATGTAGCAGAAGGACTAGCCTCAGGCAAGCAAGGCTGATGTCTTAATAAACTGTCTAGACCATGGCATCCCTGGGGCAAGAGAGCCTTGATGTCTTGCTGTGTTCCCCAGGCAGGAAGGGTGTCACTTTGATTTGAAGACCTATCTATCTCTTCAGGTCCTGCAGTAAAAAATAGAGACGCGGTTTATATCAGCCAAGTGCTTAATGCAATAGAATCATTTAGTCTGTAAAAATTAGGAAGTAGTGTTTACTATAAGTAATGTACAATGTGAATGTCTTCATTCAGTCTTTGGTCAATGGATAGATTGCTGACAATGTCAGGCACTGTTTCAGACAGTGAACAAAACAAAGTCTCTGTTCTCAGGGAGGGGACAGTCTAGTTAGGCTTTGGAAGGAAATAGACAATAAATACAAATATATAATATACTAAAATGTGATTAAAGGCTATAGATAAAAATAAGGGGCCAGGCATGGTGGCTCACTCCTGTATTCTTAGCACTTTGGGAGGCTGATATGGGAGGATTGTTTGAGGCCAGGAGTGTGAGACCAGCCTGGGCAACATAGTAGGACCCCATCTCTACCAAAAACAAAATCAGGATGTGGTGGCATATGCCTGTAGTCCTAGCTACTGGGGAGGCTGAGGTGAAAGGATCACTTGAGCCCAGAAGTTTGAGGCTACAGCAAACTATGATTGCACCACTGCGCTCCAACCCAAGCAGCAGAGTGAGACCCTGTCTTTAAAAATAATAATCGTCATGAAATAAAAATAAGGAAAGAGGATAAGGAGTGTTGAGTGTATATCTGGTAAATGCTACTTGGTAGTTCATATTACGTTTGGTATTAAACAGCAGTAAATATTTAGTCTGACAAAAACACCCAAAATGAAAGATCATTGGAAGAGATTTTGGAGCAAAATTTACCACTAAAGCTCTTGTTTTTCCAGTAGCAGGATACAGTATTCTTACTTATGTTTATGTTTCTGTGTCTGGGCAATAGTGCAAAGAGACCAAGTATACTGTGTGTTAATCAGTTCCCTTTTTCTGGAGAGTTGGAACCATTTTACAGGGGAGTAAGGCATGAATGAGGGTGGGGAGAAGGGGTACTTGGGTTTTCTTCCGAAGGGCTTCATTTTACTGCCTTGAGATCAGTGAAGACTTTCACTTTCAGGTCTCTGGGCTGGTTCTGTCTGTCTCTGCCTCATTGTGTGTTTCTGCTCTGCTGAAGAGATTTCACACTGGAATGAATGGGCGCTATGGAATTGGAATAGAGAGATCTAGATGGTTGCCCCATCTCTCCCCTTGTAGACATGGTCTCCTTGCCTATGTTAGGAGTTAGGTGTTTTCAGAGAGACTGTGTTTTCCAGATTTCAGCTTCATGCAGTGCCTGAAGATATTTTATTCCTCTAGCAAGGGTCAGGACACTCACTGTGTTTTTCCCTTATCATGGTTAGATATGAAGGACCTCAGGGAAATCATCCACTTGGGGCCGAAAAGCATCCAGACACTCTCATTTTGGTTTCTCCTGGGGAGCTCATGGTTCTGATGTTCAGTGACTAGTGTTTATTCTTAACAGTGTTACCCCAAGATCAGAGTGCCTTCTTTCAGAAGATATGCTACATGTTCTAGTGAGAGAAACACACAATGTTTGAAACTCCCTGTGTCATATCCCTATTGGTCAGAAATCATTGCCAGCTTGTTCTCTATGGTTCTAGTGGAGAACAGAGAGAAACTTGCTCTGTGCATCCTGATGTACAGTTGTGTCATCAAGGGCCTCCCATTTCTGCCTTGAGAGAAGATAACAAAGGGGGTCAAAGCAGATGCCCTCTATGTCTATAGGGATGCAGCCACAGGGGCAAGCCCTCCTGTCCTGGGCTTCCAGTTTTTTTTTTCTGTTGTTGTTGTTTTTATTATTATACTTTAAGTTTTAGGGTACATGTGCACAATGTGCAGGTTAGTTACATATGTATACATGTGCCATGCTGGTGTGCTGCACCCATTAACTCGTCATTTAGCATTAGGTATATCTCCTAATGCTATCCCTCCCCCCTCCCCCCACCCCACAACTGTCCCCAGAGTGTGATGTTCCCCTTCCTGTGTCCATGTGTTCTCATTGTTCGATTCCCATCTATGAGTGAGAACACGCGGTGTTTGGTTTTTTGTCCTTGAGATAGTTTGCTGAGAATGATGATTTCCAATTTCATCCATGTCCCTACAAAGGACATGAACTCATCATTTTTTATGGCTGCATAGTATTCCATGGTGTATATGTGCCACATTTTCTTAATCCAGTCTATCATTGTTGGACGTTTAGGTTGGTTCCAAGTCTTTGCTATTGTGAATAATGCCGCAGTAAACATACGTGTGCATGTGTCTTTATAGCAGCATGATTTGTAGACCTTTGGGTATATACCCAGTAATGGGATGGCTGGGTCAAATGGTATTTCTAGTTCTAGATCCCTGAGGAATCGCCACACTGACTTCCACAATGGTTGAACTAGTTTACAGTCCCACCAACAGTGTAAAAGTGTTCCTATTTCTCCACATCCTCTCCAGCACCTGTTGTTTCCTGACTTTTTAATGATTGCCATTCTACCTGGTGTGAGATGGTATCTAATTGTGGTTTTGATTTGCATTTCTCTGATGGCCAGTGATGGTGAGCATTTTTTCATGTGTTTTTTGGCTGCATAAATGTCTTCTTTTGAGAAGTGTCTGTTCATATCCTTTGCCCACTTTTTGATGGGGTTGTTTGTTTTTTTCTTGTAAATTTGTTTGAGTTCATTGTAGATTCTGGATATTAGCCCTTTGTCAGATGAGTAGGTTGCAAAAATTTTCTCCCATTTTGTAGGTTGCCTGTTCACTCTGATGGCAGTTTCTTTTGCTGTGCAGAAACTCTTTAGTTTAATGAGATCCCATTTGTCAATTTTGGCTTTTGTTGCCATTGGTTTTGGTGTTTTAGACATGAAGTCCTTGCCCATGCCTATGTCCTGAATGGTAGTGCCTAGGTTTTCTTCTAGGGTTTTTATGGTTTTAGGTCTAACATTTAAGTCTTTAATCCATCTTGAATTAATTTTTGTATAAGGTGTAAGGAAGGGATCCAGTTTCAGCTTTCTACATATGGCTAGCCAGTTTTCCCAGCACCATTTATTAAATAGGGAATCCTTTTCCCATTGCTTGTTTTTCTCAGGTTTGTCAAAGATCAGATAGTTGTAGATATGCGGCGTTATTTCTGAGGGCTCTGTTCTGTTCCATTGATCTATGTCTCTGTTTTGGTACCAGTACCATGCTGTTTTGGTTACTGTAGCCTTGTAGTATAGTTTGAAGTCAGGTAGCATGATGCCTCCAGCTTTGTTCTTTTGGCTTAGGACTGACTTGGCGATGCGGGCTCTTTTTTGGTTCCATATGAACTTTAAAGTAGTTTTTTCCAATTCTGTGAAGAAAGTCATTGGTAGCTTGATGGGGATGGCATTGAATCTAGTTTTAGAGAGAGCGATACCAGCCCCAGATTAGAGTTGCTTGGACATTGAGGAATCTCCCCTTTAGGCTGAGGACTAAAAGAAAGCTGTGGGTGTAATATCTAGATACTGCATGTCATTGTATTTTATGTAAATACAACCCATTGACTTATCTTCATCTCTTTATGCCTCAAGATATCACAGTTCCCTTAAGAGATTCATACTACAGTCAACTTTATGCCTCAAGATATCACAGTTCCCTTAAGAGATTCATAATACAGTATAGACAAGAGAGGGAAATCAGCCCTAATTTTAGCTGCTAAGATAGTCATACCTATTAGCTCTCCCATCCTCACAGACAAGTC
The DNA here is from genome assembly GCF_000001405.40 of Homo sapiens. Lineage (NCBI taxonomy): Eukaryota > Metazoa > Chordata > Mammalia > Primates > Hominidae > Homo > Homo sapiens. Next base: position 131,058,808 of record NC_000003.12, read on the forward strand.
TGTCTGGGTAACAGGAATTATCCCTGGTTACAACTGAGGTAACTGAGAAGAGGCAACTGGCCCAAATGGAAGTAAAATTTCATAAAGCTAATAATACTTCTATTCCAGAAAATTTCCATTTTCCGTATTAACAATAGTGTAACTTTTTCTTTTGAAAAAATTAAGTACTTCAAAAGCATCTTTTCATTTGGTTTTATAGTAGTTCTATCAGGAGCCTTCAAAAGAAAGATTAAAAAAATTGTTAATACAAGGTGTAACTGATCTGTGGTTCAGGAGAACCGTTAATGAACAATGAAAATACATTTGAAATTATGTTATGGAGAAGTATCAGTCTTCTTGGTTCCCCTGAAAATATGTTTTAGCTAATCAAAACTACTATGAATTTTATTTTGAGGTACTTTTATCTGGAGCTGGAGAATAGAATACAGAAAGAAATTGTATATGGTAATAGTAGCATGGTGTATGCATATGCCCAAACCCATCAAATTGTATACATTAAGTGTGCAGGTTTTTTGGTATATAAATTATATCTCAATAAAGTTGTTATAAAGAGGAGAAATATGTACATTAATTTTTGTGTTTTACACATATTTTTGATGTTACTGTAAAACTATTATGACTTAATATTCATATTTTCCTGAACTTTAGAAATGTAACCCATAACAAATAAAACCTGGTTTTGAACATGTAATAAAAGTCCCATCAGAGGCACACCATTCATTGATGCCCTTTAAATGTACAGATATGTGCATTTAATTATTCCATATAGCCCTTTCAAGAAGCCAAATTAAGCTCCATCTACATAGTGTGAAGTATATGCGTTTAATGGACTTGTATCAAAGTATGCACACAATTGACTCCCATTTGCATTGACAGATGATGTTTTAGTTCTTTTAAGTGTTTCTGTAGCCTCCTTGACTTCCCCATCTGCAACCACCATCTTGCACCTCTTTCAGAGAACTTACTGTATTGACAGACACATAGAGGGTTGACAGAACTGAGCCCTGCCTCACTTAATGGAATATGTAAAAGCAAAGTTGATCCAGTGACCAAGAATGAGGTTGGTTAGTTTAGCAAGAGTCAGTTATAAATAGGTTGTATGCTTGACTAACACAGACAGGACCAGCTATATAATTTGTGGGGCACAGTACAAAGTGAAAAATGCATAGTCCCTTGTTAAAAAATTATTAAGAATTTCAAGCCAGTGATAGCAGAGCATTAATCCAAGTGTGAGTCTCTTTTAAGCACTGGGCCCTATGTGACTGCACAGGTACTATGCCAATTCTATGGCCTTGAACACAGAATATTATGGATATTGTCATGGGGAAGGAGGGCAGTTAAAGTGTCCCCTGTTAAAAGACAGATGTATGACATAGTTCAGTAGCAATCAGAATAATTGAACTATTTTGGCTCTAAGGGTCTAAAAACAATGAGCAAGGGTGAAGTTATCTCATTTGAGCAGATCTGTATAACCTCACATGGAGTTTTAAACATAAAGGTATTGGAGGCCATTTTTAGTGAGAGAAAATATGCTTGGTCTTGCCCTTGTTAACTGGCTCTGGTTGCTTTTTTCATCGAGGCAATTTATCTAGCCTTCTAATAATTCAATCCAAGTTTATCTGGCAAAACATTCTCTGGATTGAAGGATGATGGATTAAGTATAGGTGTGTTTCACATTCACTCTACTTACTTTCCCAAGTTTTCCTGATCCTAAGCTTACATCTGTAGTTTTGATCTTTCATCCATTTTTTTAATCTCATATTTTCAGAGATCTAAAAGGAATTTCCACTTGAGTATCTAGGCAGTGTCCAAAATTTAGCAAATCAAATGGAAAATATCCTTTTCTTGGGTAGATATCATTCATAATTCTGAAGACTGGTAAACAGTATCACATGTGACTGTCTTCTCTTTGCCCAGATTGTTTTCCAAAGTGGCTGTACCATTTTGCATTCCCACCAGCAGTGTATGAGGGTTTTAATTTCTCTTCATCCTCACTGATACTTATCATTTGTCCTTTTGATTCTAGCTTTCCTAGTATGTAGTATGTGTAAAGTGGTCTCCTTGTGGTTTTGATGTGCATATCCCTGATAACTAAAGAGACTGAGTAGTTTTTAATGTGCTTATTGGCCATGTGTATATCTTCCTTGGAGAACTGTATTTGTTTGTTTTTATATTCCCAGTCCCCCATCCAGAACTGGGCATACTGTAGGGACTCAAAAATGAAAGTCATAAATCACTTGTAGCAGAATCACCTACAGCTCCGAGAACTCAGCTGAAACCTGCTATAGATCAAACTTTCCACACTTAGGCCTAGAGATCTACATTTAAACAAGATCCTGGGGGTCCTGTTTCACTCTGAAGTTTGAGTAGCATTGCCTTAACTAAAGATTTTTTAAACATCTGAAGAGCTTCAGTATATTCAGAGGTAAACATGATCTATGCTGTTCTAGACTGCAGAAGTGGGACTAGCAGACAAGAATCACAGGCAGGAGCACATTGCCTCATTAAGTGGTGTCAAGTTGAGTTTAGCTGGCCCATCTGCCACAGAAGGAAGTCTTGCATTGGGTAGAATGTAGGGCAGGTAGGGCAGGATGTAGTCTTTCTGGGGATGTTATGCTATTTCTATACCTGGTAGACCCCATCTAATTTTTATTCTGCCTTATGATCAGATAGTGTATCTCGGTGTTGGCTATATATAAAATGACAAAGTCTCTTCTCAAGGACAGTGTGTACTTTTTTCCTACTTCTGTTTCATTTCCCTACTCTTGCTTTTCTCTGAGAAAGGGAAAACAAGATTTCACCAGTTCTACACAAAGTAATTTACTTTAAAGACTGCTAATACATATGTATCCTCCTTTCTGTTATCTTATCAGGTCTCTCGGATCCAAGCAACAAAATAAGACTTAGCATATTGACCGGAGCCCAAAAGGAATTTATTATAAATTTAATGGGTGGGTCACAGATTCACCAAGGATTTCTGGAGGGCCAGACTAAGGACAACCTCCCTGCCATCACTGGTGCTGGGGCCCATGGCACTGCTGCCTAGGAACTCCATCGTGCTGCCTCTGCTACCACCACAGTGGCCTTCTTGAGGCCCCTCATTCTTGATGTCATCAGCACCCAATTCTGAGTCCAGGGCATCAGACTGTAGCGTACACCATGTTCAATCAAAAGATAACTGAGTTGATAACGAATGAATTCAATGGGCACTAGTAACAGTAGGCACCAAAGAGCAAGTAAAACAAGTAAAAAACAAACAACAAATAAAACCCAAAACCCTCCTCTAGGAGCTTACATTTTAGGGGAAGAGCTGAGGCACACAAAACTTGTTAGGCAACAACATTCCCTATACCAAGGAACACGATTTAGGGTGACAGAACATGTGTGTAGCAGTATAACTACAGTGTTGTGGAGTAATTTTCATATTGTTGTGTAACTTGGGAATAGATGTACATGGCAGCTCCTATTTTCCCTGGAACTCTGATCACCAAACAAGGTATTCAACCTTGTGATCTGAACCGGAGAACCTTCCAGGTTAAAGGCTAAAAATGCCTTTGCAGACTTTCTCTCCTCTGCTGCCCTCTCATTACTGTAGCCTGACTTTTTAAGAAACCAACTTTGTTGAAGAATAATTTATAGACAATAAAAGATACCCATTTGAAATACACATTTCTAATAGTTTTGACAAATTTGCACACTGTGGTAGCCACCACCAGAAATAAAATATAGAACATTCCTACACCCTTAAAAAGTTATCTTGTGCTCCTTCTAATCTTCCTCCACCCCAAACCCAGGCAAATACTGATATGCTTCTGTGACTATAGGTAAGTCTTTTCTAGCGTTTTGAATAAACAGAACCATGTGGTATGGACTGTTTTCGTCTGGCTTCCTTCACTCAGCATTGTGTTTTAGAGATTTAGCACCACAGCCTGATTAAACAAGTCGTGGTGCTAGTAGAGATGTGACTCCACAGCTCTGACTGTCAAGGAGGAAAGGAACCACCACATCATCTCCTCTATTCTGGCCAGTTCCAGGCTCCAACCGATCCCCACTAATGCTGTAGTAGGAGACTCAGGCATTCACTGTAATCAACTACATAAAGCTAGGCAAGAGAAATGGAAGTAAAGGGATCTCAGGGCAGTGTTGGCCCAGCTGATGAAGATAATCTCTCAACAGAATCAGAGAATCTTAGGTATGAATGAAGTTTTAAAAAATTATTATTTTTGTTATTTTAAGAGACAGACTTTTGCGCTGATGCCCAGGCTAGAGTGCAGTGGCACAATCACTGCTCACTGCAGCCTCAAACTCCTAGGGTTAGGCAGTCCTCCTGCCTCAGCCTCCCAAGTAGCTGGGACTACAGCCACATGCCACCACGCCCAGCTAATTTTTTTACTTTTTATAGAGAGGGGGTCTCACTATGTTGCCCAGGCTGGTCTGAAGCTCCTGGACTTAAGCAATTCTTCTGCCTTGGCCTCACAAAGTGCTAGGATTACAGTTGTGAGCCACTGCATCTAGCCTGAATGGAGCTTTTACGTCATCTAACCCAAGCCCCTTACTCTGTGGTTAATTAAGATAATTCAGCAGAGTATTTTTCATTCCAGGACCATCTTCTCTATGCCCTGAATTCTGAGTCTTGAATACAAGACAACTCTTGGAGGGCAACTGTCCTTTTTCTCAGATGTAGTAGAAAGGAAGGGGACAGAGTGGGAAACAGAAGCAAGAAAAAGGATACAGAGATAGGATCATGAATAGAGGAGGTGGATGGGTCAGGTTTGGGAATAATGATTAATACAGTCCCGATAGATAGGGTCCAGTTGATAGAATACCTTGAACTGGAGGCTTAATAAGTTTTGTCTGATGGGGAATACAAGAGAAGATCTTTAGCAAGAGAGTGACATAAAAGTAGTATTTGAAAAATGATTATCCTTGAGCTTGAGGAAATCATAGAGTAACTCACCAGCCAGGAAATTTACTACAAGTGTAAAATTACCCGTATGACCTAGCAATTCCATTCCTAGGTACATACCCAAAAGACATAAAAACATATATCCACTCAAAACCTTGTACACAAATGTTTACAGCAGCATTATTCATAATAACCAAAAGGTAGAAACAACCCAAGTGTCCATCAACTGATAAATGGATAAACAAAATATGGTATATCCATACAATAGAATATTATTTAGCCATGAGAAGCCATGAAATACTGATACATGCTACAGTCTGGATAAACCTTGAAAACAATATGCTAAGTGGAAGAAGACAGTCACAAAAGACTACATATTCTATGATTCAACTTATATGAAATATCAAGCAGGCAAACCCACAGAAAGAAAAGTGGTTGCCAGGGGCTATGGAGAGTGGGAATGGGTAGTGATTGCTGATGGATAAGGGATTTCTTTGGGGACTGTGTTAGTTTTCCAGGGCTGCCATAATGAAATGCCACAGACTAGGTGGTTTGAATAACAGAAATTTATTTTCTCATGTTCTGGAGGCCGAAAGTCCAAGAATAAGGTGCCAGCAGGGTGATTTTTTTCTGAGGCTGCTCTCCTTGGCTTGTAGATGGCCACCTCCTTGCTCTGTTTTCACATGGCCTTTCTGTGTTTGTGCAAGCGTGTCCCTGGTCTCTCCCTCTCCTTATAAGAACAACACTTATATAGGATTAGGGCCCACTCTGCTGGCCTCATTTTAACTTAATCGACTCTTTCAAGACCTTATCTCCAAATACAGTTACATTCTGAGGCACTGGGGGTTGAGACCAACATATGAATTTTAGGGGGACACAATTCAATCCATAATAAGGATAATAAAGGGTTCTAAAATTAGACAGTGTTGATGGTTGCAGACCTCTGGGGATATACTAAAAGCTACTGAATTGTACACTTGAAAAGAGTGAATTTAATGGTACATGAATTATGTCTCAATAAAACTGTTAGTAACAAAAAATAAAAACTAAACTGGACATAGCTCTTGCCTTCAAAGAGCTTATGGACCAGTCAGGCAAACAAGAATGTAAATAGGCATTTTCAACCCCTTGCAGGGCATGCTAGATGGAGATGTGCTTATTCTATTTTTATAGAGTAGAGAAGACATTCTGGAAGAGTGAACGTTGGAGCCAAACTTACAGAATGAATATAAATCTGGCAGAGAAAGGGTAGAGACAGTGTGTCCCAGACAGCGGAATAGCATAAGTGAAGGCACAAAGGCATGAAAACCCTGGCATGTACAAGGAAGGAACTTTACAACACAGTTATCATGCCCTTGCTAGTCTGCTTTCTCTTGTTATTATTAAAATTTAAATGCTGGATAAAGATTACATTAACAATGAGTAGAAAGAGCTTTGGTCTTAAAGTCAGACCTCCTGCATTTATATCTCAGTCTTTCCACTTACTTTGGACAATTACCTAAACTACCAGTCTCAGTTTTCTTATCTGTAAAATGGGGAAAATAAGGATGATTCTATATGGTTGTAAGTCTTAAATGAATGACAAGGAAAACATTCCTAGCACATTTTCACAAGTTATTCCTTGAAATACATTAGCTCTGTCCATCTCCTTGTTTCTCTGACTATTCCTTGGATAACTTGGTTTTAAGACCCCTCAACATCTTAAAATCATTCCTTGAACTAACTTTGGTGACCATATTCCCCTTGAAATGAGGCCTGAACACCAGGGGTATGATGGAACCAAGTGTAATGATACTAAAATCTTTCATACATTTCAAAATCAGCCTGGAATATTGGCTCTTTTAGCAGTCACATACTGTTTCATATTGAATTGGGGTGGTGGGGGAGGAAGTATTCCCCTTCCCACATACTTTCCCCAGAGTTTTTATAGATGAGCTGTTCTGCTGTTAAGTCAGGTGTCACTCATCTTAGATTTGAGGATTTGATTTTCCTGACTCTAACTATAAACTTCAGGTTTTAGTTTGCAAAATTTAGTCTTGGTGATTTCCAGCTCGTGTTTCAGCTTCTTCAGTCATTTTGAAAAGGTGAATTTCCCTTATGCCTATTGATTATGCTGTCTGGCTTTGTGTCTTCTACAAACTTGGTAAATGTGTCCTTTTAGATTTTCATCCAAGTCATTAATAAAATGTAAGTGAGGATATTGTTAGGGATCTCAATGGCATTAGGAAGTACCACCTGAAAAATGGCCTAAGACACAAGAGTCCAGCATATTTGGTCTGCTTGTTTGACCAGCTATGAATCCACAAGAAGACTGCATTTCTCCTGTATGAAAAGGATATCACAGACTCATCTCTTTGACATGTTAACATGGTTTTATCAGATGGGCTGAAATCATGATATACCACAACTAATTGCTTCTCTGTGATCTACCAATCAACCCTCCACAGAAAGAAATTAGGTTAATTTGGCATATTCTCCATAAGCCCATGTGAGCTCCTGCTGGCCGCTGCTTTATATTTTAAATTCTCACAAGCCATCTGTTTAATCAGCAGTTCTTCAATATTGCCAGCAATTTGTGTCAGGATTATTGCTGTAAAATTTTTGAAAAATACTGCTCATAAAAATTGGAACATGTACATGTGCCTTGGGGACAGGGAGGGCAGGAGGGCACCTCTCCCTTTTTTTTCCGGATTATTCAGACTATCAACCTTGTGCAGAGATGTATTTTTGAGTTGTGTTCTTGTTGTGAAGCTCATTGGACTTTGACTTCATAAACTCAGAAGGCAGCATCCCATAGGGGTGAGATAGTTAGATGCCCGGGATTTGGAAGTGGGGGCCAGGTGCGGTGGCTCACGCCTGTCTGTAATCCTAGCACTTTGAGAGGTCAAGGCGGGCTGATCACTTGAGGTTAGAAGTTCAAGACCAGCCTGGCCAACATGGTGAAACCCCATATCTACTAAAAAAAAATAAATACAAAAATTAGCCAGGCATGGTGGCACATGCCTGTAATCCCAGCTACTCGGGAGGCTGAGGCAGGAGAATCACTTGAACTTGGGAGGCGGAGGTTGCAGTAAGCCAAGATGACACCACCACACTCCAGCCTGGGCGACAGAGCCAGACTTGTCTCAAAAAAAAAAAAAAAAAAGAAAAGAAAAAGAGGATTTACAAGTGGGATCTCAGTTTCATTATTATTGAGTGTGGTTTGTCACTTAACAGACTCTGTGTCTTAATCTCTCTGTGTCTTAGTTTCTTTATTTCAAGAGGATTTTAATAGTTTCCTAGCACAGTACATGGTGCCAAATAACTGTCTCATGTATGGCGCTTACTATTGCCATAATCATCACCAGTATCACTATTTTAGTGGGTAGAGGTTTTCTCATGATTATCTCATATCTTGGTCTTTGATTACCTCTTTAGGATATTGATTTCATCCTTTTAAGGTGCATGACAGTTTCTTATAGCTTTTAATTATTTGTCTCTGCTCTGCCACTGGATTGCAAAGTCCTTGAAGGCAGAGGCTGTGCCTGTGACAAGTAAAGTACCTTCCACAGATCAGGTGCCCCATACACGTGCACTGAATTTAGAAACTGGAATTAAGGTAATAGTTGAGAAGCTTTTCTTAAGTTAGACATCAAAGTGCATTATTTCATATGTAAGTTGGAATTCTGTTTCTGAATGAATTCTATTCAATAGAACCACTGATGTTCTCCTTGGGAAACATCTTCACTGTTATGTGACTAAAATTAAAACTGGCTTATGACACTCAGGATCCAAAGATTGAAATACCCCTCGTAATAGGCAAGAATTGTATCACATTACCATCAACAACAGCAATAGTACTAATAGTAATAATAAAAATACCTTTCAAGAAGTTTGGAATTAAATTTGAAGCTCAATCATAGCAATAATTTCTGGCCAGCATATTTGTGTTCTTTTCCCTATTTGTGTTCTATTCTTGCTGGTCTTAATTTTTTGTTGTATTATGTAAGTTATGTCAAATTGTCTGTGAAATGAGGCTGAGTATAAATACATTAAGGTAATAAATTATGTAATAAGAGATGTTCAAAGGGTCATTGGGCAGCTGTACTTTATCATTACTGGGAACAGAACAAGAAGAAACCAGTGCAAACTATAGTTTAAAGAATTTGGGTTAAAATGTAAGGAAGATTTTCTTCATAGTATTTTAAAACGGACGGTTTTGGGGTCATATCAGTGTTGGCTGTGGAATCTTCTCAGGAGGGCATGTAGTCCACTCTTGCGGCCTCTCTGAGTTCCAGTGTTCTCATCTGTAAGATGATGAAGCTGGACTAGCAGCTGTTCCCAGTTCTTTGTTTTCAAATGAGATTTCAAGGTTGCTGGGAAGGAGGGGTGAGTAGGTTGGGGGATGGAGGGGGACACAGTCCCTGTCTGTTGGTCTGCTCTTCAAATCCACCCTCTGTCCCAAGCCTCTAGAGAACACTGGGGCTCTTCAACACTTTTAGCCCTGGCAGTCTTCCAGACCCCTGCCTGTTCTCAGCCTTGCTACTCAAAGTATGGTCCCTGGACAAGCAGCTGCAGCCATCACCTGAGACCTGAGAAATGTAGGCTCTCAGGCCCCACTCTAGAGCTGCTGAACCAGAAGCAGCATTTGAACAGATCCTGTGGTGATTTGTATGCACAATAAAATTCAAGAAGCACTGCTCTAAGACCCTGTGTCCCTTCTTTGTATTCAAGTATCACACTTTTTGATTCTAATGTTTTCCTTTGATCATATTAACATGAAAATATTTTGACTTATTCTCAGATTCCAGAATCTCTAGAAACAAAACTCATAGAAAACCACGCCCAAGCTTCTTTTTTTTAGTGTCCCTTACTCAACATTATGTCCTGAGGAGGATGTCTCTGCTGCAGAGCTCCTGTAGACAACTTGGGCAGGCGGGAGAAACCACACAGCATCTCTGTGACTGTAGCAAGTGCTTTGTGACTTTGTGTGTGTTACAAATCAATGACTAAATCCATAAGCTGTCATTCAGGGAAACTAGATCCTTCCTAGTAGTAGATTCTCCTTTGATCTGTCTTGGTAGGTTATGCCCTGACTTTTTAGGTGCACAAAAATAGACTTTTATTTGGGTATAAGCACAACTCAGCAAAAATATAAGACCCAGAATCAGTGTTTAAACCCTCTAAGGGAAGTATGCTTATACAGAGTTTCATTTTCTTCCCTTTCCATCTCAAACTTAAATGCAGTAACAACTGGCTTTATCCTATAGTTAAAAAGTTGTAGCTCAAGCCTGCATATTACACTTGCCATGATGATGAAATAGAGATTGAAATTTAGAATTATAAACTTTTGCTATTTTGGCTGTCTTACTGTTAAGACAGCCAAACCACTGCTATTATAAACAAGGTTAAAGAACTTTATTTCATTAAAACCCTAGATTTTTTTATTTTTTATTTTTAGTTTATTAGTTTAAACAACTTCTTGCCTAGATTATAATTTAATTTTACTTTAAACAGTGTTTATCTTTTCTCATTTTTACCTACTCAAGGAAATGGAGCTAATCAGCTTTTGTTGCTTCTTAAAACTCAATTTGTTACTGTATCTTGATTTTATTGTCATCTGATTGTCTCACTGAAATCTGCAATTCTTGTATTTTTCTGTAATATTCAAAATACAAACCTGGTGGGACTGTAAACTAGTTCAACCATTGTGGAAGTCAGTGTGGCGATTCCTCAGGGATCTAGAACTAGAAATACCATTTGACCCAGCCATCCCATTACTGGGTATATACCCAAATGACTATAAATCATGCTGCTATAAAGACGCATGCACACGTATGTTTATTGCGGCATTATTCGCAATAGCAAAGACTTGGAACCAACCCAAATGTCCAACAATGATAGACTGGATTAAGAAAATGTGGCACATATACACCATGGAATACTATGCAGCCATAAAAAATGATGAGTTCACGTCCTTTGTAGGGACATGGATGAAATTGGAAATCATCATTCTCAGTAAACTATCGCAAGAACAAAAAACTAAACACCGCATATTCTCACTCATAGGTGGGAACTGAACAATGAGATCACATGGACACAGGAAGGGGAATATCACACTCTGGGGACTGTGGTGGGGTGGGGGGATGGGGGAGGGATAGCATTGGGAGATATACCTAATGCTAGATGACGAGTTAGTGGGTGCAGCGCACCAGCACGGCACATGTATACATATGTAACTAACCTGCACAATGTGCACATGTACCCTAAAACTTAAAGTATAATAAAAAAAAAATACAAACCTGGAATGAATTATTCATTAGAATATTGCATTTTGAATATTAACCTAACACTAATTTTAAATTTGGAGCATATAATAATTGTAACAGAAGCTAACCAAATTATCTGTGGTAAATTTTTTTATATCCTTATTAACATTGTTATGCTCCTTAATTTCCTCGCCTGCATAAGTAGGATCTTTGCTGTAAGCTCAGAACTTCTCAAAGCGTAATGGAGTGAATGAGTGATTTGTTGCCTAGAGTCTTATGTTATCAATATTTATTTTTGTTTTTAAGGCATATTACTACTTTTCCATTGTTTAACAATTTTAAATCAATGAATTTTGCTCAGTTGAACTTTTAAAAAGACTGGCCCTCAAACACACAAAATTATACCTTCAGGGTTGTGGTACTTGGAACAACCTCAAAATGTAGACTTCACCACCTTGTTAGGAGAGTAAGTCCTGAGAAACACTGCCTCCCTCTTCTGTATGATGTCTTTTCCCAAACCTCCAAATCTGCGGTGCTATAATTGGCAATATTCCTAGCTTCCGTGAGATTTCTGTAACTCTCAAATGATAATGAAGAACAGACATAGGGTCATTAGTGCCTCATCGAAAGCAAAACCATTATTCCAATCACAACGACAAGTTGTTTTTGTTTTTTTCTTTTTTTCTTTAATGCTAGGGAAGGGAAGAAAGCAGATGTCAGGAGTTTTTGTTCTTTGAAAAATGAAAAATTTTAGACTGTCTTACTCATTAGACACTGAAGATCTCTATACTAACAGCAGAAAGGGAAAACCATTAAATCTGGAGACAAAAGTCTATTCTTCAGAATTGATGGTCTGTTTCCTCCTTCAAGAGGTAAATGGTGGCTCCATTGTAACTTGCTTTGTGACCTTGGATAAATTGCTTAATGTCCCAGGACTTCAATTGATTGAGGTACTTTGATTATCTGCTTTCTGAGGGTCTTGTCCAGCTTTAAAATTCTACAAAAACATAAAATCCATTTCAAAACTGGAAAAGAAGCTGAATATGGGGGGAACACATTAAGAAAATTTGGTAGCTTTGTGCTTCTCTTGGGCCAGGCCATTACAATGGGTATTATCATTTCTCTGAGATATTGTGAAACATCAGAGCAAAACCTTTTTTTTCAGGTATGAATATCTGCCATTTTTTTGTCTATGCTAATGTTATTATCAGCTCCCACGGGTAATTCAGCTTCCAGATCAAAGCTATTCCAGCAAGTATGTTAGCAAGCAAATTTTTATAAACTTGCATTTTTAGTACTTTTTTATCTCCTATCACTAGAGAACTATAGAAAAAGGTATATTTATTACTGTTTGTAAAGTGTATTTTCTTTTTCTTTTCTTTTTTGGCAGGAGAGAGTGAAAACCAAATATTTTAAGAATTCTTTTTTTCTTGGTCTTTTTCAACTCAGTATTTATTTTAAAATCTTTATATTTTTTGATTGGCGAATCATCCATTCCCCTTGCTTCACTCTTTTCTTTCTTGCCTCTCATTTTAGATTATCTTCTGTTTGCTATTATTACTTCTATATCATCACCTAAGGGAAGAAGGATAACACTGGTGGAATTTTAATAATTTTGAATTCTGATGTTTTTAAATAACTTAAAAAATTTTATATAAAATAATTTTGAATTATGTTTTCAAATTAAACAAATATCATGTTGTTTTAGTTTTGAAATGTACTAATAACAAAGAATTTTTAGTCATTTGTCCCCCAGTTTTTTTTCTCACAATAGGTTCATTTCTGTGTAGTTCACTGTAGTTCATTTTGTCATGATTTTTAAAAGATTCATATCAATGCTCAAATAGAAAAGAGCCAAGTTATACATTTTTTGTTTAAATTAGTAGACTCATTAACTGCTTTCTAAGTAAGTAAGACATAGCCCAGTTCTCAAAGGGCTTACCTTTCTTCTAATCTTTTTATACAGCATAGCTATACCTAAATAACTTTATCATTTGGGTTTTTATAACCTTAAGCATTTACAAATGAGTGGAATATTTACTGTACTACATTCTCTACCCCTGATTCTAATCTCTTCTTCTTTAAACATCTCCTCTTCCTTCTTGTAGCAAAGTGGTAGTATCAGGAAATGGCTGATACTATCAAAATGGCTTAAACAATAAGAAACTCTTGTCCTCCTATCAAGAAGTCTAGAGAGAGAGCAATTCTGGTTTGACTAATTCAGCAGCTGAGCAACATCATCAGGGACGTTGGGGCCTTCTCTCTTACCTCTCCATGTTTCTGCCACTCATGTTAGGGTGGCTTACTTCATGGCTCCAGCTGGCTGCCATAGTTCAAGGAGTCAAATGCAGATGATCACATGCAGAGGTGGATTAAAGAAGAGTTTCCTCTCATGCTTCTCTTTTTATCAGTGAGGAACATCTTTTCCAGACCAATTATGATTCACCACAGGAACTAGGGGAGGATCCTCCTTTCCAGAGCATATGATGGTAGGGGTGTTGGGGGATGACTGTGTGGGGTAGGCAGTCATCAGTGTTTCTCACAATAAGGAGGCCACAATATTCGATGACTCTGCCCATCTGTATAAATAAGAAAAATAGAATTGCTTGACCATTTGTCTCAGGTTGTGGGGGAGAAAGATAGGGACAAGGAGGAGCTGTATATGATTTTAAGGGGAAGTTAGAATTGACCCAAGGCATCCTTGGTTGTAAAGAGAACTTTTAGAGAAGTAAATAGAAAGAAGTTCCAGAAAGCTGTCTCCTCCATGAAGGGAATCCACTCATATTGTAGGTAAAAGAAGAGGGAAGGGCAATTTTTTCTCCACTCTTCTACGAGACAGCCCCAGCAGCTTTTATGGAGGCTGTGACTTAGAAATGGGGGGGAAATGGCTGTCATGTTGTGAGGGCACAAATGCACAAGCTTTTTTAACACTGCCTGAACAAATGCAGACTTTTGTTGCTCCCCAGTGAATTAACATGCTCTGATGCATTTTTTTTGGCTTGGCTATCAACTCTTTGGTCATGTGCTTGGGGAAGGGCTTTGCATGACACAGCGGTCAGACATTTTATCTTTTCTCCATGTGACTTCCAGGAAGCCCTCTAGGGAAATGCAGGACATGGTCCATTTGGACGCCAGCTCTATTCTTGCACTGACACAAGAGATTCTCTGCAGAGAACTCCAGGGAGCACCAGCACTATTTCCAGCCTTGAGACATGTGCTCAAGTCATTTCTATTTTGCTTATTTATACAGATGGGAAAAGTCATAGAATTCACATGATGGTTATTAGATATTTTTTATTCATGCAATATTTGTCTTCAAACCACCTACTCCTAGAATTTTTGTTTATCCTCTTCTGCTCCTTAAAACTAAAAGGCAATTTGCAATGATTTGTTATAGTACCAGCACTGAGACACTGCATGAAAGTTGTCACCACAAATGGAAATATAATCTAGACAGCAGCCAGAAATAGCATGTTTGCCAAACAAAAATATCTGAAATAATTTTACTCCTTTTTTGTTCTTTATTAGCTGTATTATTAATTATTTGCCTATTATCTGTATGTAATACTCATATGCTGCTAAAATATTTGTAAACAAAATCAGTCTTGAAAAGCATAGTAAATGGAATTTATCTATAGGTTGTAATTGGTTTGCAGTTTCATTGTTGAATATTTGAGGCACTTTATTTTACTTTGTCTAGGAATCTTTATTTGCTAGCCATCTTCAGGAGTATAGGGAAACCGGGCCAGAATTTAAAATGGGAGGAATTTCCTTTATTTTTATCCTGTGGAAGACAGTGTTGGGGTCCTGCCTATATCCCCTGGGCACTTAACATTTTCTTATGCATGGACTCAGCCTCCAACTGCCTGCACATGCAATTCTGCCTGAGTGCTCTTTCTAGCCATTAGGATTTCCTGTGCTCTGGCAAGGGAGAAGAGTGGAGGAATTAATACTTCCAGGGAGCAATTTTAGCCAGTGAATAATGGGAATTGGTGGATTAGTATCCCAGCCCCATTACTCCTCACCCTTTGGGCAGGAGAACTCTGAGGTTAATGTTCTACACTAGCTCCCAGAGTTTCTTGACAGAATTAAGCTCCAACTGCCCTCAGTGATAACTGTCTTGATGATATACCCTTTCATGGCTTCCTTCCCCTCCTGTCTCACTTCCCCACTTTCCTATTACTTCCCAAATTACTACTTGCATTCAAATCCTTGTCTCAGGGTTCGCCTTCTAGGGGACCCAAATGAAGAGAGTCCTTCAGAGCAAAGCATGGCTTAATGGGAGGGTTCCTCATGCTTATTTTAAAGATCTTGCTATGTAAAGCTTAAATATTTTTTGGAAAAAATGGGGAATAAATGGGTGGAGAGGAAGGAAGAAAGAAAACAAGGAGGGAAGGAGAGGTTTATGAACCTGACAGTTTTACAGTTTTATATGTCTCTTAAAAAATACTCCTCCTCCCTGTAACATTTTAATTCCACATTCCATAATGTATAGTGTGATTTTGTGTATGTGTATGTATGTGTTTACTCTAAGGAAATATACAGCATATATAAAATATTGTAATATATAATATAATGTATAAAGTCATTTTTTAAAAGAGTCATATGCTGATTAACTT
This sequence comes from Homo sapiens, assembly GCF_000001405.40. Lineage (NCBI taxonomy): Eukaryota > Metazoa > Chordata > Mammalia > Primates > Hominidae > Homo > Homo sapiens. Next base: position 131,074,581 of record NC_000003.12, read on the forward strand.
TCATAGCCTATTCAGGTAATGCAAATGCAGACACTCTTCTACTGGATATTGACTTATACAGGGCAAATGGTAAAGAATGATACATTCATTTATTTTGCTGCTTGAGCTCCACCCAGGGAAAAGGCAATGCAGCAAGTATAAAGCGGTTTGCATTTGCAAAAGTGAACATCCTGAAGCTCTAGACCGTGGATTTTGCCTTTTCTTCCTGCTCAAAGAAAGGTTAGGAATCCTACTGCCCACCCCCAGCTCTATTTTAGCATTTATCATGAAGTTGTCCAACTATTTATATACTTGTTGGCCTCCCCATGGGACTGAGCTCTCTTGGAGGGCAGGAGTTTTGTCTTTTTCGTCTTTATATCTCCAGCACATGGCATGGTATTTGGCACATAGAAGATAGTTAATAGACAGTAAAGTAACAGAAGCGTGAGATTTCCTGTCTCAAAGTCTTTGGCAGTTTGTTCCTCAGTTGCTGATGTCTGCCATGGGCACCTACAGTTTGCCATTCCTGCACTGCACCATGATGCCCCTTTAACCCCTGCTGTGTCCAAAGGCTCTGCTACATGTTTGTGATCGGGGTACGTAGAATGGACAAGATGAATTAGAGAGTTCTAACCCCCGAATGAGCTAGTTCCACGGGTTTAATTGTTAAAAAACAAAAAGCAGTGCATATTGTGGCATATGGGGATAACCCATAAAATAATTTTGTCCTTTAATGTGACACAGACATAAAAATAATATTTTTGTTTTACCAAGGGAAGGAAAAACAACAGAAATAAAATGAAACTCCATCTGTAGTATAATGTAGTATACTTGCTACTAACCTCTACTCTTTTTTTTCCCCTACCAGCTATTCCTTTATGTAACTTTGTTTCCTGGCTTTTCCATTATTTTTATCAATGTGCCAATTTTTTAAATAAATATTACTCTCTGCCATTATATATCTTTTTCATGCCCCTTTACTTTTAAAAGTTATATATCATATTAAAAGAGATGAAATAACTTTAAAACAGGATGTTTTCCACCATCAATTTCTATCTACATGTAAATGGAGAAAGAATTACCGCAGCCTTAAATACATTAGAAGAGTCTAAGGTGGAAATGAAAATGAACCCAAATGAGCCAGACCTTTGGAGGTTTGGCTTTCATTGCCCCAAAGTGTTTACAGTTATTTGTGGTAACACCTGAAAGTACTTCTGTGATGCATAATTGCACTGATCAGGACTCCCAGGTGCAGGTAAGAGCAGCCACCCTTTGCCAGTTTAAGCAGAAAAGGATTTGTTACAGAACACAGATAGTTCATAGCAGTGGTGGGAGGGCTGGGGGAGCAGGCTAGAGGGCAGAACATCACCAGTGAAGTGACCTAGTGCCCTTGAGCTCAGGGCCATGCTGTTTCTGATGACACATATATTTGCAAAATGGAGACGCCGTGCCACCTTGTTTCTTGATGCAGCTCACACTCACATCAAAGTGTCGGGTGGATGCAGCTGACTGACAGAACCTAGGTCACACATCAGCACCCAAGCTCAAGAGAGGCTGGGAGTCATAGGGTTGGTTTGTCTGTTTTTATCTCTCCATGGGAGGCAAGACTCACAGCCCAGGGATCTGCCACAGTGTAAGGAAGCTGTCTAAAGTGGGCAGCCACAAATGACAAGTGTCTGCTACAATAATGTCTCATGAAAACAGCAGTAAGCAAATTGTGTAAGCTGTTTGGCCTCTACTATTAAGAAATACATGTAGCAAAAAGATTGTAAGGAAATACACAGAAATGTTAATTCTGATAATTTCTGTGTTGGATTGTGGGTAATATTTTCCTTATGTTGTGTTTTTAAATTTTTCTATAATGAAACTATTTCCTTGTAAATTAGAAAAAAGAGACCTTCCCATTTAAGAAAGGCAGATAAAAATAATTCCTGCCTTCCTAGAGGGATGAAAAATCTTAAAACCCCTGATTATATTTCATAATCTCTCTTTGTAAAACAGGCAAATGATAAATAAAAAAACACAAAAGCAAAATCCAAAGCCAAAAAGTTACTCGTTTGTCTAAGTTGAAATTAAAATTTCCTGTGGCTTAGGCTAAGTGGGTACAGTAGCTGCTAATCACATCAGGGTCACAGCTCTGAAATCAGAAAGGCCTCAGACATCCTTACCTCAACTTTATAGCATTCATTGCAATTTGAAGCTTTGAAAAACACAACCATACATGTTCACTGTGTTCACTGTTCATATGTTCCTCCAGATCCTTTCTCTTTAGTCTTGGTCTTTTCTTTAAAAACTCAAAAGACATGTGTTTGACTCATATTTCTGTAGTGATTTCACCTTTTACCTGAAGCAGTGTATGCTGCTGGTTGAATGGGGAAAATGTGAAAAGATATGTGAAAATTTGGAGAAAAGTAACCCTTAATTAATATCTCAAAGATATCATCTTCCCCATTTCTGCAAAAGGTAGGCCAATTTCAAGGGAATGAAATTAGCCATAGTTATCCCGAATTTCCAAAGTTATTCTCAAAGTTTGTCAGTTCACTGATGCTAGAAAGAAAGAAAGCATGTAACTTGGGAAGTCTCCGGGGATGCCTCGTTTTGCTACTGTCTTGAAATTTCTCCTGAGTTGAGGCTCTGATAAAATAAATGTCTGTCATGTTATTTAGGAGGGGTGACAGGCTGGAATCACTGAGCAAGTGACAAACTGTCCCTTGACTTGGTAAGTTTCCATGCTGTCTTTGGCTGATACAGATCTCGTATTAAGTGATATGCAATGAGAGTTTCCTCTGTCAGCTCAGTGACGTGATTTTAGGTAAGGAAGGTGAACGTCTCCGCATCAGCTAGAGAGATTATAATAGATATCACCTGTCTTAATAGCCCTACCTTCATCTGCTAAACTGTGGACAAATGAGATTTTATGCTTTATCATCAAGGTGCCAGACGGGGCTCAGGTATTTACATTTTATATGTAAAATTGCTCATGCTCTGCTGCACAATAGTTGGTGTTTGCAAGGAAAAATAAGTATCCTGAAGCTTTTTAGAGCATTTATTCCTTCACAGCAAGAGAATATTGCAAGTTGGTAAGACTTTATATTGTCATGCTTAACCACTGTGACTTTTATAACTGCATGCTAGCTGGGGTACAGTAAATTACTGAAAAGCTCTATGAAGATGTCTTTGTGCTTCGCCTGCTGCTTTGTAATCTTCAGTAGTTAAAAAAAGTGTCTTGTATGTCATTTCTAGCTTCTTTGGGTATACTAACAGTCTGAAATGCCACTCCTAATAACATTAGGTCATTTTAAACCAAATTCTTGATAGAACAGCCTTTCTTCAGAGTGTTACCAAGCAGGCATTTCTCTAGAATCTACTTCTTATTAAATAGGAGCCTAATAGGCTGTTTAAAACCAATGTGAAAACACGTTAGGGGAAGGAAGACAAGTGTTCCAACTTTCTGTATTGCAGTCACATTTAAAGACACCTGTTAATGGCATAGTTGAGTCCTTGCCTGTGAGGTTCCTGAGGCAGAGCTGCCCTTTCTAATGCAAATTGGCCTCCTCTTTGTGGAAGCAGCTTATGCCTGCTGTTGGTTGTCTTTTGGGAATGAGATGAGTTCAGAATGGGAAGACCATGGAGAATATTTAAAGTGAATAAAATATTAAAGGACTCAAATTTCAGGGGAAGTGACTTCCCAGTAATGGTCATCTTGGATTAGAAGGTTTTCCTTATGAGATTTTTGGAGAATGGAAACTTAACCCAGCTTTTATTGCTCTGGGAAAAAAAAGGTCAAACGTTACCCAACCCCGGAATAGGATAAGGGCACTTTCTACATTTTCCTACTTAGGCTCTCAGCTTCTAGGACAGATTTCCTAACTTAGAATTGTAACGAGTTTTTAATTTTGTTTTGTTTTGTTTTTTTAATTGTAGTCTCTCACTGAGAAATGGGATGGGGGAATACTATACAATAGTGTGCTGACTGCAATATCAAAACTTCTAGACCCTGAATATGAAACAAGAAGAAAGCTCTACCTCTGGTAATGCCTGAGGATATTACGGTTCTTCCATTGTAAAACAGAGGGAGAGGCTTGTTTGAATTACTGAGAAGTTAATAGCATAATCACATTTTTAAAAATGGTAGAAGCTCTTCTCTCCAATGTGATTGAAGCTGGTACTTGGTTAAAAAAAGGAAACAATTTTAAAATAAAATGACATTAATTAAAACATTTACATCAACTTAAAATATATAACTGTACATTTTCTCCAGTTTTTGGCTGTATAGCCAGCATCCAATGTCCTCTGGTTAGAGACTCCTTCATCTTTTTTTTTTTTTTGCATAAACTACATCCATAAAATATATATTATTTTTATATTATTTTTTAGGACCTAGTTTTCTAGATTTATTTTCTGTAACAATCTGAATTCAGAATACTAGATTTTCACATTTTTAACCTTTTTAGAACTGTCTTTTCAGTTACTTGACAGCTGTTTATTTTTGCAACTTTTTATTTTCAAGTTTTTTGGTAATCATTTGACTTAGTTTTCCTAGCAGAGATAACTTTCACGCTCACTCTTCATTTAAGTTATATTGAAGTCATAAATTTACAATGATGAGCATAACTGGCATTAGCAGGCTTGGGAATAAACACAATGACTTGGTAAGCATACATCTCAACTGGGAGGGCAGAAGTTCATGGGCATGCCAAGGAGAGCTTATTAGCTGGAGGCATTCCCTGTGGCAAGGGCATCTGTCAGCATCTGTTAGGAAGGACTGGAGAATGATGGTTAATCTATGCATTGGTTAAAGGGCCTAAAGAAATTTTCTACTATAATACATTTTTATTGATATGCATAAGTAGCAACTCCTAAAGAAGATTTTTGTAAAATGTTTTCTAGTACAGGTCCTGCAGCACTTGCCCTAATGAACTGCCAATGCTTGCTTATAATCATCAGACTGTGTCTGCAAACATAATTGGTGTTCTAAAGTATTTTTTCCTATAGTCTAGTTCACACTTTGGTACTATAATTGATTTGTTTATCAGACTCTTTTTTTTCTTAGATGGGAAGAGATAATGTTTTGGTCTATTCCCAAAGAGTTATCACAATTTTTAAATTAATGACTTGGGGATTTAATGAGCTCTTCTTTCATTTATACATGTTAGAAATACTAAATATCTCTATTAATGTTTTTAGTTAATTTTTCCTGTTAAATACTGGTAGTAATGAAGTATGATATGCCAAGGATAGTTTTAAAAAGAAAATAAATAAATATTGCTCCTATTGATATTAAGTCGATATATTTGGAAAATTTTAAGCTGAGAGAGAGAAGCATGCCTGTGAGTGTGTGTAAATACATGTAAATACATACACAGAGGCAAAGAGAGACACAGAAAGAGGCAGAGACACAGAAGGAAAGATAGGCAAAGAAAGAATAAGATACAGGGAGACAGAGTGATGGATTACATATATATATGTGTGTGTGTGTTTGTGTGTGTGTGTGTGTGTGTGTGTGTATGAACACACATAGAAAGAGACAGACAGAAATAGATAACTATAAGAGAAACCAAGAGACACTGAAACATCTAGAGAGGTGGAGGAAGGGCCACCCCAGCAATATTGCTCAAGATTAGTTCCATGGCTGCCCTTATAGAACTGTAGGATACACAGATGAGGAGGTCAGAGGCCTTGGGGAAGCAGGACAGGAAAACAGGCCCAGGTCCCACCAGGAGACACAGTGTCATAATAGGCAATACCAGATATATGAGTAGGTCACAACCTGGGCATTAATTAATGGCTCTGTACCACTTGATGATATTTGTTAAATGTGTTTTTCAGCTCTAAATGTTTTTAAAATTTTTTTTGATCTCAGAAAGGTACTTAAGGAAATATCTGTTGGAGAACTAAATCCAAATGAAACTGTACAGGCCAATTTGGAAGCCCAACTCCTCTCCAAGCTGGACCACCCAGCCATTGTCAAGTTCCATGCAAGTTTTGTGGAGCAAGATAATTTCTGCATTATCACGGAGTACTGTGAGGTGAGACTCTCCTTTTCTCTTGGAAGTCTTTATAAAAACTTGCTGAATGGTAAAAAGCCTTCTGTAAAGAGATCTTAAAAGTCCAATTATCACACCATAAATTGAACTGTAAAGACCTGGGATCCCATGTCTTGCAGCTAAGAATGATTATCTGTAGATAATTGACAAAACTTGTTTCTAAGGAAGGGTTTTTCCCTCCATTGGCAAACTCAGTAAAAAAGAATATATTTTAAGGTGGAGGCCAGGTGTGGTGGCTCATACTTGTAATCCCAGCACTTTGGGAGGTTGAAGTGAGAGGATTGCTAATCCAGGAGTTCGAGACCAGACTAGGAAACATAGTAAGACCTCCATCTCTACAGAAAATTAAAAAAATTAGCCGGGCGTGGTTGTATGAGCCTGTAGTTCCAGCTAGCGAAGAGACTGAGGCAGGAGGATTGCTTGAGCCTAGCAGTTCAAGGCTTCAGTGAACTGGGACCATGCCATCGCTCTCCAGCCTGGGCGATAGAGTGAGACCCTATCTCTAAGAAAAACAAAAAACAAAAAGGAGAAATTACTGCAGAAGAATGCATCAACAATTTTTTGATAGGGGGAAGGGCAAACCTTCTAGAATGGTCTGATGCTTAGACGGACATTTAAATGCTCTAACAGATGCTTGGTTAGAGTAGAGGTATATGTCCTGAGTTTTGGATTCCAGCTCTATGGTTTAATTTCTTCAGTGGAAGTTTGGAAATGGAAATATGGCTTTTTTCCCCACAAGAATTCCTCATATTTATCAATTTGTGGTTTACAGCTTGAAGTATTTACAGTTTTTCCAACCACTCTGAGTTCTATCCAAGTAATAGCTGTGTATTTTACTGAGCCCCAAGGGAGTGTGAAGCTGCTTAGAGAAGTGGGAGAGGGGAAAGTGGACAATGTGTAGCTGCAGTGTGAATCTGTGTGTTTACTCCTGAGACATTATGGAGAGAGGATTGACAGGGCTTGGGTCAGGTAGAGAATACCCAAAGATGACTACGCTCAAAAAGTATCTCCCAGAATATTATGGAAGCTAGGGTTAGCCAAATGCACCTTGGGAGAATTTGGTACTGTTCATACTTTAGGATGAAGTCAGCTTATCACTTGGATGTTGCTGGAGCCCAAAAGACATGAGGGAAAAAAGATGCTCTTTAGAGTAGACGGCAGTTCTGTTTGGGCCAGAAACTTTGGACAACTCGACCTAACTTGAAGGTGCCATTTGTTTGAGAGAGAGAAAAGAAGAGACAGGAGAAAGAAAAGAAGCTCAGAAGGAAAAGGGATAGCAGCGAGAACAACCTTGCCTGCTTTACACATTAGCTGATGTATCACCCAAAATGAAACCAATAGCCAAGTTAAAATATCTGAACAAGTTTGAAATATTCCATGTCTTGGCCATTCCCCTTCAGGTCAGCCTCAGCCTTGCTGGGTATTTTCCCATCTATGTCTTGACCCTGCTTTGCTTGGAGGAAAGTGGACAGGGTGGAGGGTGAGTGGAGAAGAACCAGGTCATTTGGATATCTGGTTGTCCATCATCCAGTGGATTGCTGAGAAAATCAGTAAGATGATGTCAGGTGTGATCAGTGATATTGAATATTTACTCTGGCAAATATGTCACCAATTCGTGCAAAACTACAGATACTTGCATATGCATATGTTGCATACTATGATCCACCTGCTATAATTTGTTCATATTTCTTCTTTAGCCTCCTTCAGTTAATAAACTGTGTTATTTTAGAAACAACTGACTCATACTGCTTATAACTATTACTGCTACCTCTATTGCTGCTTTTAGGACATTGACTTTTTCAAAGACTCTTTCCATGTCTTAGAATATTTTAAACTGTAGTCAGCACTATTTCACAGAACTTTCTGTGCTGATGGAAATGGGCTATAGTTGTGCTGTCTAATATAGTAGTCGCTAGTCATATACATGGCTCTTTAGCACTTGCTGTGCGGATAGTGCAGTTGAGGGCCTGGATGTTAAATTTTATTTAAATTTAGTTAGTTTAAATTTAAATAACCATATGTGGCTCCTCGCTACCGTATTAGACATACATAGTATATGTTGCTATAACTTTCTTTCCCTGTATTAATTGAAAAAATTTATAATTTTAATGTAATTTTAAACTACCAGAAATGTTACAAGAGTAACACAATGAACTTCCATATGCCCTTTATCCAGATTCCCAAATTGTTATTTTTCCACATTTGCTTTATCTTTCTACCTACATTTTTTAATGAACCATTTGAGAATAAGTTTCAGACATGATGCTCCTTTGTCCTAAATATAATACAGCTGTGAGTATTTTCTAAGACCAAGGACATTCTTTTATGTAACCATAGTACAGTAATCAAAATCAGGAAATCAACAGTGATACAATGCTAGTATGAAACCCAGTGGTTCTCAAAGTGTGACCCCAGACCAGTATCATCAGCATCACTTGGGAACTTGCTAGAAATACAAATTCTTTGCCTCTACCCCAGCCAGCTGCATTGAATCAGAAATTCTGGGGGTGGGGTTCTGGCAATCTGTGTTTTGACAAGCCTGCCAAATGAGCCCAAAGCATACTGAATTTCGAGAATCACCCATCTAATTCACAGTCTATATTGTCTGAATTACATTCTTAGAAGGGACAGTTCTATAAGATTTTTGTTGTTGTTGCAGAGGATCTCATCCGGAATCATCTGTGTTGATTTTTAAATGATGGGTGGTTTCAGTGGGCTGAGCTGCTCTCCCGGGAGGGGCTGTTGCCATGGTGATGGCTGCTGGCAGTGCTGAGAGACAGCTGTGGGGCCGCCTGGGCTCTGTGTGCCACTGAGCTGGCAGGTTGCCACTTCCCTGGACTCCTGAGGAGTGACTTGCACAGATTGCTCCGTTCTTGTTAACAGAGATATTTCTCATCATCAGACCCAAATTTACTCTTAACTGGCACAGGGCTGGTGTTATCCTTTTTATTAAGGTAAAATAATAGTATAGGAAATGGCAGGTGACCAAAATTGCACCTCATAGAAAAATGCTATCACTACCATTGAAATGGCTTATCTCTTTATCTCCAGGTTCCCTCTTCTGTAATTTAATTTGGGGCCTTTCAAGACTGAAATATATAAATGCATTAGTGAGGCTTCTGCATCTACTACCTAACCCTTTGGACACATACATCAGATTATGAGTGTAAAACAGCAGACAACTGAACTCTCATAATTTCTGGTCAAGATTTAACCAAATCTTTGATGGGGAATAGTTCCAAAACTACCAGAATGGCAGAATATTTCAAATATTGGTGTCTTCTATTTTCCTCCATGTAGGAAGGAAATGGAACTACTGCCCATCCTCCACAGTTTCACACCTTTTCATCTTTGCTTAGGCCATATCCTCTGAGAATGCCCTTCCTCCTAGTCCCACATCTTCAAATCTTACCCTGACTCCCAGGCCCAGCTTAAATGCCACCTCCTCTCTCATAATCAAAGTTTCCAATAAACAAGGTTCCTTTCCCATAAACAAAGCCTCTCATAAACTCGTGGCTAGAAATCACTCCCCACCCCAATCCCAATCCCCTCAACTCTCACAGAATCTTTATCTCTCATGGTACAAAGCACAGTTTACATCATATGAGCCATGTCAGATTCTCAGCATGTGGGATTGATCTTTTTCTGATTCATTTTTCTATCACATCGTGGACCCACATAGTGAACCACAAAGAAGTTAGCACTCAAGATATTTTTTGATGTATTCTTTACCTCTTGGTTCCAGCTGCCTCCCACCTGATTTCTGTCAAACACTAATGGTAATGATAAAATATTGAATCCTTCTACCTGTTGTATATGTTAAAAGTATTTTGTCCTACCTTACTGTGCTGATATACCTAACAATGTGCTGCACTGGAGACCTGTGAGATACTGCCTGAAAGTCTTCCATTTGGGTGAAGACAAGGCATCTCCAGAAACCTAGGCATTAAATTAGTAGACACACTAGAGAATGGGTGAGATCACATATCTTCAGGAGAGGGTGGTGGTAGTGGTTGTGGTGGAGAGAACATATGATAGGGAAAAAGGCAGGAAATGTTGGACTTCTCTATTTTCTGCTTGGTGACATTAACATAGGTAAATAAAAATTTTATCAATGTAGTACTAGTTCTCAACATTGGCTGCATCTTAGAATCACCTGAAGAGCTATCAAAAATCCTGAGGCCTGAGGCCCACCTCTGGAAAGTCTGATTTAATTGATCCTCGGAAATGGCCCAGGCATCAGGGTTTTGAGAGTTCTCCAGGTGATTCTAAAATGCAGCCAGGGCTGAGAATGGCAAAATAAATAATTTTAAAAATTCAAAAGGAGAGAATAGTTAGTGTGGAAATAGACAAATAGTCATAAAGGAAAAATTTGTCATTATTGGTGGAGCACTAAGCAAAGATGAGGCCCAGAGCTGAGAACAAGAGAGTCTGGCCCTGTAGTGAGTGTAGTTTTATGATCAAGCCATTTAGCCTGTTGCTCTTATTCACGAAAATTGCACAACTTGTTCTCCTTGCTTCCCAGGCAACCTTCTGATCCTAATTTAGCTTTCCATATATGTCTCCTCTAATAGGAAAAAATATGCTGGCTAACCTGAGATGAGTTCCCTATTGCCTTGGCAGTTTTAGCTCTCATTGTGTATGAATACGTTGGCAATCTGGATTATTTATTGATGCCTTATGAACTTGAAGTTCACAATGGCAATTGTAATCAAGGGACTTTCCAAAAGCCATTACTGAGCCCCAGATCTGTGTCAGATACAATTATAGTCATTGTGTGGCATAACAGAGATAATATGATAATATTTAATGAATTTTCAGGTAGGATTAATGAGTCATTTATATCAGTTGCTAAAATACAAGGGGGAGTGTGGTATGTGTTATGGGAAGGGTATGGTTAAAGTGCTGTGGGGGTAATAGGAGAGAGAAATGACTTCTGACCATGGGAACCATGAAGGGGCTAGCATTCTATTTGAGTTCGCAGTACGGGAAAGATTAGGCCAAGAAGAATAGAGCAAGGACATTTCAGCTAAATGGAATGATGTGATAAAAGGCTCAGAGGTAGAAAAGCATGGGATGTGATTTAGGAACCCAGTACTTCACCTTTAATTGTAATATGTTTGCAGTTAAATACATTCCCTAATTTTAACAACTTATATAATCATAGTATAATTATCAAAACTAGGAAAATTAATATTTTACTAGTTTTCCCCTTTATGCCTTTGGTCTATTCTAGGATCCAATCCAGGATTCTACATTGCATTTAGTTCTATTTCTTTAGTCTCCTCTAATCTGTGACAATTTCCCTTTCCTGCCTTGTTTTTTATGAATTTGACACTTTTGATGGGTAACTGGCAAGCTATTTTGTAGAATGTCTCTCAGTTTGGGTTTGTCTAATGTTTTATCACGATTAGATTGAGGTTACATATTCTTGGCAAGACTACTACAATAGTAGTATTGTATTCTTCTCAGTACATCATATTAAGGGGTACCAGCTGTATCTTATTACTGATGATGTTAACTTTGATCACTTGGTTAAGGTTCTGTCTTGTGGGGTTTTTCACTGTAAAGTTACTATTTTTTCCCTTTGAAATTGATAAATATCCTGGGTAAGATAGTTTGAGAGTTTTCTATTAATAATAGCCTGTTTCTTTTCAAATCTTCACTCATTAATTTTAGTCTCTTTCAGTGAAGTTGCCTGTGGCGATTCTTACTCTCTATTCTTTACCTAATTGTGATTATATATTTCTCTCATTCTTTCTGTATTTACTAATTGGTATTCCACTGTAAGGAAGAGCTGCTGCTTCTCCTCCATCCATGTATTTTTTCAGTTATTTATTTATATTAGTATGAACTCATGGATTTTAAAATATTATATGGGTTACACCCAGTACCGTCACTGTTTATTTTGTTGCTCAAATTGTTCCAACTTTGGCTAATGGGGTTCCTTCAGATTGGCTCCTGTGTCTTTTTAACATGCCCCTATCCTTTTTTGAGGAGAAGTAAATTCTTGCTTATTAATTCCATTTTACAGATGAAGAAACAGGACCCCAGAAAGTGGAGTGATTTTCTGACTGTTAAATCCAGGGCAGAACTAGGACCAGGGGTATTGGGATAGATGCTCCTTTTCTTGGCTTATTCTCAATTATTTTCAGTGTCTTTATCCATCTCTATTTCTATAATACATATACATATTCACATAAACTATTTGTACACAAATGCAAATTTTAATGTGATGATATGATTATTTTCTCTCAATGGAAGACTAGATAAGGTTTTAAATAGTGGGAAGTGTGTAGACTTTGGCATCTCCTATTCAAATCTTTGTCCATTTCCTTCAGCAAATTATTTCATTTCTCTGACCCGTTTTTCTTAAGAGAGTATAACATATATTTTGTTTTTATAGGGATTTGAAATAATGAATGTTGAAAAAGTGACTATCAGAGCTTTTCTCCTAGTAGATTTTCAATAATGAAAGTTATTATAATTGTTCGTTATTTCACTGTTACTCACCCCCCTTTCCTCCCTCCGGCTGTTTTCTAGAAGTAAAGCTAGTTTTTACCTCTGAGATTTTGTCGTGCAGCCTTTAGTATGAGGATTCATGCCAAAAGGAAGAAATATGCAAATTCTTTTTTTTTTTTTTTTTTTTTTTGAGACAGAGTCTCACCTCATTGCCAGGCTGGAGTGCAATGAATGGCACAATCTCAGCTCACTGCAACCTCTGCCTCCCAGGTTCAAGCAATTCTCCTGCCTCAGCCTCCCGGGTAGCTGTGACTACTGGCGCGTGCCACCACGCCCAGCTAATTTTTGTATTTTTAGTAAAGATGGGGTTTCTCCATGTTGGCCAGGATGTTCTCCATCTCCTGACCTTGTGATCCGCCCACGTCAGCCTCCCAAAGTGCTGGGATGACAGGCGTGAGCCACCGTGCCCGGCCGCAAATTCTTAACCACTAATAGGCCTGCTAGTAACTTTGAGGCAAGTACTTTCCGAACTGATTGTACTATAAAACGGAACATTTGAAATTTCCTCATATGTTTCTTTTTTATGCAAAAGTATTTAAACAAACCAAGTAAGCGGGTTGAGTTTTGCAATCTTGAATCTCTAGTGCGTGTCAATAGACTATTAGAAGTAAATTTGGCAATGACGTGCAGCCACCAGGCTTACTAGTTCTCAGAGGGTCCTTGTAGAACTTCATATTGGGTGTGTTGTGTCTAGTATTAGAAACAAATCCTTTTCTGTGCTTCAGAACAACTGCTTATAGTCCTGAAGCCTGTTTGGGACCACCACCCCCCAGAATTGGTTATTTATAGATGAGGAACACCCCTGGAATTTGACCATTGTGACATTGATTGGTGATCATCCTTCCTACTGTGAACTCAAATCAGGCATCCACACATTGGGGCTGTCCACACCTCAGGACTGTCTTCAGTGGTTTGCATTGCTGGGATTGCTGCTGATTGAAGGAACTAAGCATTGTTTTCAGAGTGGTGGGTCCCATCGGGGCCCTCTGATTTTCCTGGGCAGCTCCATCTAGGAGTAGGTAGGCCTCCCTGAATTTATCCTGTGTCAATTCTATGGGTCTAGATTTTGTCCAGTTGGGGAAGGCTGTAAATAATACGAGTGTCTAATGTTTTTATATACCTAAACTGATCCATTTGTGATTTTTATAAGTATCAAAATTAAAGTCATTTGGTTTGTTCCATTTACTTTCTTTCTTAAACTATGAAATATTTTGACCTTTTAATGAAAAACAATAAAAAATAAGACCACTGATTTTTACCTAAAATTGTTAAATCTAACAATTGAAAAGCAAGACTAGTTTCATTGAAAAGAAATGCACTAATGCACTAATAGAAAGCAATCTGCAAACCCAGTAGAGTTTATGACATTTGGGGTAAGGCTTTAGCTGTCATATGAATTTATATAAATACAAGTGTTTAAAAATAGAATCACACTAATTTATTTCAAATGGTTTTTTTTTAAAAAACCCTGTGCTTTATAGATAAAAGCATTATTTCACATTATTTCATATCACCTAAGAATAAGTTCTGCCATTTCTTATTCATCTACATTTACCTCAGCAAAAAGAACACTATCTCTAAAAGAATTTGAAAAAAATACTAACTAAACTCAAGATGTTCATTTATATTATTAGAAATGAAAATCATAATACTGCATGGCATTCTTCAGTACCTATTTAGAAGCTGGTTTTTTTCTTGTTTTGCTTTTAAGAGCATAATGTGGCTTGACATTTCCCCCACGTTTTATGCAGTCTCTTAAAGTGCACTTCCAAAATTCTAGGAAAATGTCCTTGGGTTGTACAATATAATGACAAAGGATCTCCTCCCTCACTGCCTTTACCTCCATTTATTGGTATTCTCCTAAGTAATGAAACAGAGTTTCAAAAACATGTTATTGTAAAATGACTCTTATTCAGCCCTGCCTTTCTCAAGTACATCTTTTGCCTTTGGAGTTGTTCAAATTTTAGACAAAATGTTTCCACTGACAGGCTAAATATTAAGTACATGGCCTGTTTATATTATTGCCTAGCATCATGCCTCAAAGTTTGTTCCATGGACCACCTGTCCTAGAGTCACGAAGGATGCTTGTTGAAAATACAGATTCCTTGGGTCTATGTGGATTTACTGAGTTGGAGTTATTGTTGCTAATGTCTAGGGATATGCATTTTAAACAAGCAACTTGGAAGATTCTGATGTATAAAATTTGAGGTCCACTGGAAGGATGCTTATTTAATGGAGATATGGTAGGCTATGAAGAACAGCATTTAAAATGTCAATCCAGTGAATTAATAAGGGAAGCTTTTTCATTATTTTATTTTGTTTTATTTTGCGATGGAGTCTTGCTCTATTGCCCAGTCTTGAGGGCAGTGATGGGATCTTGGCTCACTGTAACCTCTGCCTCCTAGGTTCAAGTGATCCTCCTACTTCAGCCTCCCGAGTAGCTGGGATTACAGGCATGTGCCACCACGCCTGGCTAATTTTTGTGTTTTTAGTAGAGACGGGGTTTCATCATGTTGGCCAGGCTGGTCTCGAACTCCTGACCTCAAGTGATCTGCCTGCCTTGGCCTCCGAAAGTGCTGGGATTACGGGCATGAGCCACTGCACCCAATCTGCATTTACTGAGTCAGAGTTATTGATGATAATGATAATGATAGTTGATGATAATAGGGATATGCATTTTAAACAAGCAACTTGGAAGATTTTGATGCATAATATTTGAGGTCCACTGGAAGAATGCTTATTTAATGGAGATATGGTAGGGTGTGAAGGAAGAGCATTTTAAGTTGTCAGTCCAGCGAATTAATAACGGAAGCTTTTTCATTTTAAAATAAAAAGCAGGACAGAATAATTTTTGAAGTTCCTTTTAGCCTTAAACATTGCAGGGGTTTTTTTGTTTTTGTTTTTGTTTTAAATTCAGGCTTCTGAGAATGCTCTTCTTTTGTCTTTTAAGGTTGTAAGTGCTTTGATTGCCAATGTTAATACAAGGATTAATTTTTAAAATCAAATCCTTTTAGGATTTAAAATTTGATAATAACGATCAAAGGTGGGGTTAAGAACACTGAATTTGGGTTGTTCTTCATTTCTTTAAAGCCTCGACATTTCAAAGGCAATCTGTCATTGGCTAACTGGGATGGTGAAAGGAGGAGATACTATTAATCCATCAAATGTTACAGTTTGGGTTACAGATTTTCAAAACCTTAGAAGTTAACATCAAGTCTTTTATTGCAACCTTCAAGGGATAATCTTAGTGAAGGAAAACATTTTTTGATAGCTGTATAGACTTAGGGCAATATTAATTTTGGGTCAGTTAAAGTCAATACATTTTTCATGAAAGTTATTTTAGCAATAAAAGTCACTATTAAATATTTCTCAAGGACAAAGTTAAGAAAACAGAATATACTTACAGATATTGTAATAAGAATTTCTTAGACCAACGCATTACATTTCATCAAAAACATTAGCTTTTTACTTTAAAGACAGCTTAGAGAAAGAAAGTAATGCTTTTCATATTGCTGAGTTAAAATCAGACTAAAAACTGTATTTCTTTGTTGTGTCAAATCATAATTTGTTGTGTCTAAATCTTTGAGTGACTTGTCTATCATAATTAAATCCTTAGAAAAAATCAGAGGTTTTTGTTTATTTTTTGTGTTTTTTGAGATTGGGGTTTCATTCTGTCACCAGGCTGGAGTGCAGTGGTGCAATCATAGCTCACTGCAGCCTCAATCTCCTGGACTCAAATGCTCTTCCCACTCCACGCTCGCAAGCAGCTGAGAATATAGGCATGACACCAGGCTGGGCTAATTTTAAAATTGTTTTTTAGAGATGGGATCTTGCTATGTTGCCCAGGCTGGTTTCAAGCTCCTGGCATTAAGTGATCATCCTACCTCAGCCACCTGAATTACTGGGATTACAGATGTGAGTGATTGCATCTGGCTGTGTTTATTAAAGAACACAGTAAATGCAAAACAAATAGTTTTTCTTGAGGATAAACATGTAAAATGGAAATAGGAAGAATAACTTAAGAAGCACAAGACACAGATCTTGGATTAATTTAATCTTTCAGTGTTCTCTCTTCCTGTTGATTTCACATAGCCCTTGCTTAATGCTAAAAACAGATATCTTTCTTCTTTTTAAAGTTCTACCCAGAAGGCAATGGGGAGTTTGGCTATTTCCTTTGGACATTTCACTTTGAGGCCTGTTATTGAAGGCCCTTTTCTGGTTTTTCCTTCAATAGTCTAAATATATATTTATTTAATTACAGGAAATCAGGCACTTAATATCAATGCAGGAAACAGACATAAAACTTTTACCCACCTCTGTTGTTCTGCATCTCTCCTTCCACTTGAAAGATTGTAAGCAGGTGATTGTCAGACCAACAATAAATGTCACTCAGAGAGCATGCATCCATATGGCAAGGTAACCCAGAAAACATAATTATGCTCATTCACAAAAAATAAAGAAGTTGATATAAAATGTATAGAATTTAATATTTCTTTAACACAGTTTAAAAATGACAATAGGATGTGAAAAGCAGCATTGCAGTTTGGGGATAAATTCCTGAAAGGAATGCTATTTTAATGCACAAATGTCTCCAAATTTTAGTATTATAACTGTTAAAATAAAAACTTTAAATAAATTAAATTTACCAAAGTTTATTTGAGCACACACAAAAAAAATTTCTTGAATTGGGCAAACTTCAGAACTAGAAGGAGTTCGGAGAGCTCTTTCTGCCCAGCAACCTGAGCAATGAGCTTTTATAGGATGGACACAAAAGCAAACCAGAGAAATCATTTGATTAGCTATAGCTAGGCATTTGCCTTATTTGGGCATGGTGTGATGATTTGGCTGCCTGTGATTGGCTGAAACTCAGCTATTTCTTCTGTGTATTGGTTTGTTTACATACTACGTTAGGGTGAGGTTTGCTGCACAGGAATGCAAGGTATGGAGGCAGCTTCAGGCCAAATTTAAGTTAATTTAACAATTTCTCCCTATTAGTCAGTCTCTCAAAATTGGGCATTGATGCCACTCTGTCACCATCGTCATGGACTTTTTTGGTCTTGGTATGAAATACATAATTCATGGCATCAGGCTAGTTGAATGATTCCTTATGTTCTCTTTGTGTTTTTGTTGTTTTAACAGTAGTGAGACCATTTGATGTACAACAGATGGCTGTATATGAGCATTTAAGACACTTGAGAGAATATAGAACACCAGGGAGACTATTGTGATGGTTATCAGGAGGATAATACTAAGAGAGTGAAGTGTATTCCTTAACAGAGGCCACCATGAACCAAAACAATTATAATAAAATGAATCAAAAAAATGAGCCAGAAGAGGAATCTACTTGTTTTAACCAAGTAACTTGTTTGTTTACTTTTTAAAACTGAGTTTCTACCGTATCAGACATATTTATGAAAGGGCAGCATGAGATGTTAGCCACTGCATACATATTCCCATGTTCATCGAGTAGTCCAAAACAGTCTAAAACAATGTTAGCAAGAGAATTTATAAAGGATTCTGGGCAACGATAGCCTTTGCAATAGAGTCAGCTATAGTAGCTAATATTTGAGACAGATTTCTAATAATAACTCTATATACATTTATGCCAAGCCAAAGAAGAACCATTCTACAAAAGATGCCCATTTAGAGTGATTTAAGCCTGCCGGAAAGTTCCTCTTTATTATTTTTGTTTTTAAATATGGAACGCTTCATGAATTTCCGTGTCATCCTTGCACAGAGGCCATTCTAACCTCCTCTGTATCATTCCAATTTTAGTATATGTGCTGCCAAAGCAAGCACAATTTCTCGTTAATCCATGGCACAAATTAAGAGATACAGAACAATGTTCAGTTTCCAGTTGCTTATGAAGTGACAGTGGTACTGTTAGAATCTCTAATCCACATTGGTCCCTTATTTTCCACTTGAGACAAGGAGTTGCCCACACATATGGTTGATCATTAAATCCTCCACAGATAAAAATATATCCTGGAGGGGCACAAGAGACAGTTCCTTGTGTGATACTTTGTGTGTTAGAAATCACCAGTTGGGAAGCACTGGTAATATTTATCCAAGGGTCCATTATTGAATCATTGTATGGTAGATTACTTCTTACCAATAAGAAGGGATTAGGGTTATAAAGTTGTCTACAAACTGTCAACTTATCTTTCTTTTGGTTTTCTTAGTTTCTGGCATAATTTAGCTGCAAAACCCTCAATATAGGTTTTTCCTACTATTAGATTTAAACAAGAGTCTGAATATATGAATCTAAAAACCCAATCATGTGGAAAGAACCAGATGTGCAATTTTTTTTTTTGAGACAGAGTCTCGCTCTGTCTGTCAGGCTGGAGTGTGGTGGCATGATCTCAGCTCAGTGCAATCTCCGCCTCCTCAGCTCAAGCAATTCTCCTGCCTCTGAGTAGCTAGGATTACAGGCGTGTGCCACCACGCTTGGCTAATTTTTGTATTTTTAGTAGAGATGGGGTTTCACCATGTTGGCCAGGTTGTTCTCGAACTCCTGACCACCCGCCTCTGCCTTCCAAAGTGCTGGGATTACAGGCGTGAGCCACTGCGCTTAGCCCAGATGTGCAATTTGAACAAATAGTCACCCTTGGAATATTAGTGAAATTTGTTACATGGTGAACTAGAATATCTCTAAGATCATATAGGGATTCAGGTTTAACATGACATAGTCAACATTCAGTCTAGTTCCCTGCAAAAGCTATCAATTATGAAATCTTAATTATCACATTATCTTGCCATATATAAACAGAAAAGAAAACAAAGAGGAAAGGGAACAAAGATTTCATAGTGACAGAGGAGAACAGTCTTGACCTGTGATCTTGGGAAAGCTGTCCACATCTAGGATGCCATTTGCTTCTGGAGAAAAGCTTCCCTAGTCAGCTTTACCTTGAGATCTCCAGTGGATTTACTGTCCCAAGAGTCTGGAGGGGCTCTCTTGAGTTGAGATATAGGGATCCAAGGCTTGAGGCCCTGAAATTTTGCAGTAGTGTGGGTGGTGGGAAGAACTTGGTATGATCTTTTTCAGTGAGGCTCAAGGGCAGTCTTTCTCTGGTGTTGCTTCCAAAAGACCCATTCAGTGGGTTCTAGATCATGAAAGATCTAGTTGTCATCAGCTGGTGGGTCACAAAGGGTTTCTTTTAACTGGTAAAAATATACTTTAGCATAATGCATTAAAATCTTTCAATATTAAGTCATGTCAGAACTTATAAAAGTGTGAGATTCATGAGGTGCTATTATTAGGGCCATACACCTTCCGGTAACTATTTTATAAGGGGTCAATCTGTGTTTTCCAAGGGGGGTGGATCTGACTGCCATCAATCAGTAATACCTTTGAACAAGGCAATACAGTCAATTCAGTTAGCTTTGCCTAATACCATTGTGTTTGTAATAACTTATTTAACTGCTTTATAACTTGTCCAGTGAAATGAGCGCCTCTACCACTGGAAATTTCTCCAGGAGTATTCCATAAAGCAAACACATTTCATGATAACCTTTTAGCTACTGTTATATCAGCAACCTTCCTGCATGACGGGAAAGCTTCTGTACATCCAGAAACTATTCATTGAAGGTAGGAATTGAGTGATGTCCATCTGTAAGTATTCAAATGATCCAGCAGGTGCTGGAAATGTATCATCTGAGTGTTTTATTGTCTTGTCAAAATTATGGGTTTGACAAACCAGACAGTGGTTATAAACCATTTTAGGAATTTTAGAACAGACAGCCTGCCAGTATTTTTTAAAATAATTGGGATTATTTTCTCTCTCCTGTGATGAGTTAAGGAGTACAGAGCTTCTAATAATTAAAGCTTTAAGGACTCAGGAAGGACCAAGCAACTGTCCAAGCCCTCCATTAGCCCACACTTAACATTGAATTTACATCCTTTTAAATACCAGTTGATTTCTCCAATTCAGGCACACAGCATTGTTTATGAAATAGTTCATCATAGGTAATTTGACTTGGATCAATCTTATGGAGCTCATTCAAATTGTATATCTTAACAATTTCAGTACTGGCTGACTTAGTATGAAAACCTGCCAAAGCATTTCCTTAGCAACCAATTAATTGGTGTTCTGCTTGATGTGGGGTTAGTGGTTTTATGAACCAATCAATTTATTCATTAGCATTCTAGAAATTCTTATCTAATCTAATTGTGTGAACCTAAGGTTATCAGAAACCTATGTTGTCAGAGTTCTTTCCATGAATCCCCTCAAAGTTGAAAAATTTAGGTTTATAGTTGTTTTCAATAGCTTTCAGGAAAATACCAAAGTAAAACAATTAACTGTCTGTGGATGGCAAGACTTTAAATGATAATGGTTAAATGTCTGATGAAAATTAATTATAATGCAATTGACAAGAAAATTTTGTTTCCTTTTCTGTATATACAGTATTTTTTAAAAATTAAAATTACGAGTGATAGTAATATGTCAAGACTATCAAGTTTCTGGGAATTTCATATAATTTCTGGAAAACATATTAATAACATACTCATGCAATATAACTTAAAGATGGTTCAGCAACACTTATTATTTGACAATGCTTCCCATGCAATTTAACACATCAAATAAGCCTAATTAGTTTAACATCTCTCTTTTTTATAAGAAGAGAGGAAAAAATTCCTTTGAGAAATTCCAGAAGTCAGTTTGGAAACTTCCAAAGTTGGTTTGAGGTCGAAAGGCCTTAATTTAATGCTTGATTTTGAGAAGTGGTTAAAAAATGTCAAAGGGTTTAAAATAATTAAAATAGGATCAGAGGTCACTGGCAACAGTAGTCATTTAAGCAGAGTGATAATTAAAATACTTCAAAGAAAGTTACATAATTATAGAAAAACCTTAGCTTTTTAAATAGAGAGAACTGTTTTCTTGAGTGATCAAAAGACTTATAAAGACCACACGAAGCACAGGAAATTGTCTTTTTAAAAAAATTGACATATTTTTGTTATAGAGGGTACATCTGTAGGTTTGTTACATGGGTATATTGCACCCAGGTAGTGAACATAGTACCCAATAGGTAGTTTTTCAACTCACATCCCCCTTCCTCCCTCCCCTATCTAGTAGTTGGCAGTGTCTGTTGTTCCTCTGTTTATATCCATGTGTGCTCAATGTTTAGCTCCCACTTATAACATGTGATATTTGGTTTTCTGTTCCTGTATTGGTTTGCTTAGGATTATGGCCTCCAGCTTCATCCATGTTGCTGTAGAGGACATGATTTCATTCCGTTTTTATGGCTGTGGAGTATTCCGTGGTGTATATGTATCATATTTTCTTTATCCAATCAATGATTGGTGGGCACCTAAGCTGATTCCATGTCTTTGCTGTTGTGAATAGTGTGGTGATGAACATTATGCATGCATATGTCTTTTTGGTAGAATGATCTATTTTCCTTTGGGTATATTCACAGTAATGAGATTGCTGAGTTGAATAATAGCTCTGTTTTGAGTTCTTTGAGGAATCTCTAAACTGCTTTCCACAGTGGCTGAACTAATTTACATTCCCATCAACACTGGGTAAGCATTCACTTTTCTCCACAGCCTTGCCATTATCTGTTGTTTTTTGACTTTTTATTTTAATTTAATTTAATTTAATTTTATTTTATTATTATTGTTATACTTTAAGTTTTAGGGTACATGTGCACAATGTGCAGGTTAGTTACATATGTATACATGTACCATGCTGGTATGCTGTACCCATTAACTCGTCATTTAGCATTAGGTATATCTCCTAATGCTATCCCTCCCCCCTCCCCCCACCCCACAACGGTCCCCAGAATGTGATGTTCCCCTTCCTGTGTCCATGTGTTCTCATTGTTCAATTCCCACCTATGAGTGAGAACATGCGGTGTTTGGTGTTTTGTCCTTGCGATAGTTTACTGAGAAGATGGTTTCCAATTTCATCCATGTCCCTACAAAGGACATGAACTCATCATTTTTTATGGCTGCATAGTATTCCATGGTGTATATGTGCCACATTTTCTTAATCCAGTCTATCATTGTTGGACATTTGGGTTGGTTCCAAGTCTTTGCTATTGTGAATAGGGCTGCAATAAACATACGTGTGCATGTGTCTTTATAGCAGCATGATTTATAGTCCTTTGGGTATATACCCAGTAATGGGATGGCTGGGTCAAATGCTATTTCTAGTTCTAGATCCCTGAGGAATCACCACACTGACTTCCACAATGGTTGAACTAGTTTACAGTCCCACCAACAGTGTAAAAGTGTTCCTATTTCTCCACATCCTCTCCAGCACCTGTTGTTTCCTGACTTTTTAATGATTGCCATTCTAACTGGTGTGAGATGGTATCTCATTGTGGTTTTGATTTGCATTTCTCTAATGGCCAGTGATGATGAGCATTTTTTCATGTGTCTTTTGGCTGCATAAATGTCTTCTTTTGAGAAGTGTCTGTTCATATCCTTTGCCCACTTTTTGATGGGGTTGTTTGTTTTTTTCTTGTAAATCGTGAAGGACCTCTCCAAGGAGAACTGCAAACCACTGCTCAATGAAATAAAAGAGGACACAAACAAATGGAAGAACATTCCATGCTCATGGGTAGGAAGAATCAATATCGTGAAAATGGCCATACTGCCCAAGGTAATTTATAGATTCAATGCCATCCCCATCAAGCTACCAATGACTTTCTTCACAGAATTGGAAAAAACTACTTTAAAGTTCATATGGAACCAAAAAAGAGCCCGCATCGCCAAGTCAATCCTAAGCCAAAAGAACAAAGCTGGAGGCATCACGCTACCTGACTTCAAACTATACTACAAGGCTACAGTAACCAAAACAGCATGGTACTGGTACCAAAACAGATATAGATCAATGGAACAGAACAGAGCCCTCAGAAATAATGCCGCATATCTACAACTATCTGATCTTTGACAAACCTGAGAAAAACAAGCAATGGGGAAAGGATTCCCTATTTAATAAATGGTTCTGGGAAAACTGGCTAGCCATATGTAGAAAGCTGAAACTGGATCCCTTCCTTACACCTTATACAAAAATTAATTCAAGGTGGATTTAAGACTTAAACGTTAGACCTAAAACCATAAAAACCCTAGAAGAAAACCTAGGCATTACAATTCAGGACATAGGCATGGGCAAGGACTTCATGTCTAAAACACCAAAAGCAATGGCAGCAAAAGCCAAAATTGACAAATGCTATCTAATTGAACTAAAGAGTTTCTGCACAGCAAAAGAAACTGCCATCAAAGTGAACAGGCAACCTACAAAATTGGAGAAAATTTTCACAACCTACTCATCTGTTTTTTGACTTTTTAAAAATGGCCATTCTGACTGGTATGAGATGGTAACTCATTATGGTTTTGATTTGCATTTCTCTGATGATTAGTGATGATGAGCATTTTTTCATATGTTTCTTGGCCACTTGTATATCTTCTTTTGAGGAGTGCCTGTTCATGTCCTTTGCCCACTTTTTTTTTTTTTTTTTAGATGGAGTCTCACTCTGTTGCCCAGGCTGGAGTGTAGTGGCGCAATCTCCGCTCACTGAAACCTCTGCCTCCTGGGTTCAAGCGATTTTCCTGCCTCAGCCTCCTGAGTAGCTGGGATTACAGGTGCGCACCACCACACCCAGCTAATTTTTGTATTTTTCATAGAGATGGGGTTTCACCATGTTGGTCAGGCTGATCTCTAACTCCTGACCTTTGCCTACTTTTAAATGTTTTTTTTTTTCTTCCTTGTTGATTTAACTTCCTTATAGATTCTGGATATTAAACGTTTGTTGGATGCATCATTAGTCAATATTTTATTCCATTCTGTACATCATTTGTTTACTCTGTTGATAGTTTCTTTGGCTGTGCAGATGCTCTTTCATTTAATTAGGTCCCACTTGTTTTGTTTTAGTTGCAACTGCTTTTGAGAACTTAGCCAGAAATTCTTTGCCAAGACCAATGTCAAGAAGGGCATTTCTTAGGTTTCTTCTAGAATTTTTATAGTTTGATGATTTACATTAAAATCTTTGATCAATCTTGAGTTAATTTTTGTATGTGGTAAAAGGTAAGGGTCCAGTTTCAGTCTTCTGCATATGGCCAGCCAGTTATCTCAGGACCATTTATTGAAAAGAGATCCTTTCTCCATTCCTTGTTTTTGTTGGCCTAGTCAGAGATCAGACGGTTGTGTGTGGCTTTATTTCTGAGTTTTCTATTCTGTAGCTACTGGTTTATGGGTCTGTTCTTGTACTAGTATCATGCTTTTTGTTTACGATAGCCTTATAATACAGTTTGAAGTCAGGTAGTGTGATGCCTCCAGCTTTGTTCTTTTCCTTAGGATTGCTTTGGCTATTCAGGCTCTTTTTTGGTTCCATATGAATGTTAGAGTAGTTTTTTCTAATTCTGTGAAGAATGATGCTGGTAGTTTGATAGGAATAGTGTTGAATCTGTAGATTGCTTAGGGCAGTATGGCTATTTTAACAGTATTGATTCTTCCAATCCATAAGTATGGAATGTTTTTTCCATTTATTAGTGTCATCACTGATTTCTTTCAGCAATGTTTTATATTTCTCCTTGTAGAGATCTTTCACCTCTATGGTTAGCTGTATTCCTGGGCATTTCATTTTCTTTGTGGCTATTTTAAATGGGATTGTGTTCTTGATTTGACTCTCAGCCTGGACATTATTGGCTTATAGAAATGCTATTGATTTTTGTACATTGATTTTGTATCCTGAAACCTTACTAAAATTGTTTATCACTTCTAATAGTCTTTTGGTGGAGTCTTTAGGGTGTTTTAGGAATAGAATCATACTGTCAGCAAAGAGAGATAGCTGACTTCGTTTTGGATGCCTTTTATTTCTTTCTCTTGCCCAGTTGCTCTGGCTAGGACTTCCAGTAGTATGTTGAATGGGAGTGGTAAGAGTGGGCACCCTCATCTTGTTCCAGTTCTCAAAGAGAATGGTTCCAGTTTTTGCCATTCAGTATGATGTTGGCTGAGAATTCTTCATAGATGGCTCTTATTATTTTGAGGTATGTTCCTTTAATGCCTGGTCTGTTGAGGGTTTTTATCATGGATGTTGGATTTTCTTAAAAGCTTTTTCTGCATTTATTAAGATGATCATATGGTTTTCGCTTTTAATTTTGTTTATGTGGTGGGTGAATCACATTTATTGATTTGTGTATGTTAAGCCAACCTTGCATCCCAAAAATAAGGCCTACTTGGGCCAGGCATGATGGCTCATGCCTGTAATCCCAGCACTTTGGGAGGCTGAGGTGGGCAGATCACGAGGTCAGGAGTTGCAGCTAGTCTGGCCAACATGGTGAAATCCCGTCTCTACTAAAAATATAAAAAATTAGCTGGTGGCTACTCAGGAGGCTGAGGCAGGATAATCGTGTGAACCTGGGAGGCCAAGGTTGCAATGAGCTGAGATCATGCCATTGCACTCCAGCACAAGTGACACTGCAAGACTCTATCTCTAAATAAATAAATTAATTAAGCCTACTTGATTTTGGCATATTAACTTTTTGCTGTGCTACTGGATTCAGTTTGCTATGTTTTATTGAGGATTTTTGCATCAATGTTCATCATGGATATTGGCCTGAAGTTCTCCTTTTTCGTTGCATCTTTGCCAGATTTTGGTATTAGGCAGTTGCTGGCTTCATAGAGTGAATTAGGGAGGAGCCCCTCCTCCTTGATTTTTTGGAATAGTTTTAGTAGGATTGGTACTAGTTCTTTTTGTACAACTGGTAGAATTCAGCTGTGAATCCATCTGGTGCAGGACTTTTTTTGGTTGGTAGGTTTTATTATTATTATTATTGCAGAGCTCAGTATTGGTCTATTCAGAGTTTTAATCTCTTCCTGATTCAGTCTTGGGAGATTGTGTGTTTCCAGGAATTTATGTGTTTCCTCTAGATTTTCTATTTTGTGTGTGTAAGTTGGTCGTAGTATTCTCTGAGGATCTTTTGTATTTCTATGGGATTGGTTGTAATATCATCTTTGTCATTTCTGATTATGCTTATTTGGATCTCTTTTTTGTTGTTAATCTAGCTAGAGGTCTACCAATCTTGTTTATTTTTTATAAGAACCAACTCTTGGTGTCACTGACCTTTTGTATAGATTTTTGCATCTGAGTTTCATTCAGTTCTTCTCTAATTTCAGTTATTGTTTTTCTTCTGCTAGCTTTAGGGTTGGTTTGTTCTTTTTTCCTAGTTCCTTTACGTCCAAAGTTAAATAGTTAATTTGAGCTCTTTCTAACTTCTTGATGAAGGTATTTAGTACTATAAACTTTCCTCTTAACATGTTGAGCTACACCCTGGAGATTTTGGTATGTTGTGTCTCTATTTTCATTAATTTCAAAGAATTGTTTGATTTCTGCCTTAATTTTGTTGTTAACCCAGAAGTTATTCAGGAGCAAGTTGTTTAATTTCCATGTAACTGTGTAGTTTTGAGAGGTCTTCTTGATATTGATTTATATTTTTATGCACTGTGGTCTGAGAGTATGCTTGGTATGATTTCAAGTTTTTGAATTTATTGAGACTTGCTTTATGACCAAGCATGAGTTCGATCTTAGAATATGTTCATGTGGAGAAGAGAAGCATATATATTCTGTGGTTGTTGGATGGAGTGTTCTATAAATGTTTATTATGTCCAGTGGGTGAAGTGTTAAGTCCATAGTTTCTTTGTTAGTTTTCTGCCTTGATGGTATGTCTAATGCTGTCAGTGGGGTACTGAAGCCTCACTGTATTACTATGTGTTTGTCTAAGTCTTTTCATAGGCCAAGAAGAACTTGTTTTATGAATCTGGATACTATAGTACTAGGTGCATATATGTTTGGTATAGTTAAGCCTTCTTGTTCAATTAAGCCTTTATCATTATGTAATGTCCTTCTGTGTTCTCCTTAATTTTTGTTGGTTTAAAATCTGGGTTATTTTATATGGGAATAGTGACTCCTGCTCTTTTTTGTTTTTTTGTTTGGATAGTGAATCTTTCTCCATCCCTTTACTTTGAGCCCGTGTGTACCATTACATGTTAGATGGGTGTTAGCTTGCCACTCTTTTGCTTTTATATGGGATGTTTAGCTCATTTACATTCAGGGTTATTATTAATATGTGAGATATTGATCCTGTCATCATGTTGTTAGCCGGTTGTTATGTAGAATTAAGATTGCTTTGCAGTGCCTGTGGGCTATGTGCCTATGTGTGTTTTTGTGGTAGCAGGTGCCATTCTTTCAATTCCACATTTAGCACTCCCTTAAGGACCACTCGTGAGGCTGGTCTAGTTAAAATGAATTCCCTCAGCATCTGCTTTTCTGAGAAGGGTTTTATTTCTCCTTCACTTATGAATCTTTGTTTGATGAGATATGAAATTCTTGGTTGAAATTTCTTTTATTTAAGAGTGCTGAAAATAGTACCCCAATCTCTTCTGGCTTGTAAGGTTTCCGCTGAGAGGTTTGCTGCTAGCCTGATGGGTTTCCCTCTGTGCATGAATTGACTTTTCTCTCTTCCTTTAAGATTTTTTCTTTTACCTTGACCTTGGTGAATCTGATGACTATGTGCCTTGGGGATGGTTGACTTATATGGTGTCTAACCAAGGTTCTCTGTATTTATTCGTTTTGCATGTCATCCTCTCTAGCAACATTAGGGAAATTTTCATGGACTATATCCTCAAATATATTATCTGAGTTGTTTATTCTCTCTCTCTCAGGAATACCATTGAGTCATAGATTTGGTCTCTTTATATAATCCTATATTTATCAGAAGTTTTATTCATTTTTAAAAATTATTTTTCTTTATTTTTGTCCAACTGAGTTGATTCGAAGAACTGGTCTTTGAGCTCTGAGATTCTTTTCTCAGCTTTGATCCTTCTGTTAATACTTTTGATTATATTATGAAATTCTTGTAGTCAATTTTTCAGCTCTAGAAGCTCAATTTGGTTCTTTTTTAAATGGCTATTTCATCTTTCAGCTCTTAGATCATTTTACTAATTCCTTGGAATCCTTGGGTTGGGTTTCAACTCTCTCCTGAATCTCCATGAGATTCCTTGTCATCCAGAGTCCACATTCTATGTCTGTCATTTCAGTCACTTTTGATTGGTTAAAAACCATTGCTGGGGAGCTAGTGGACTTGTTTGGAGGTAAGGGTACACTCTGGCTTTTTGCATTGCCAGAACTCTTGAGTTGGTTCTTTCTCATCTGAGAAGGTTGGCGTTCCTTTAATTGTGGTGTAAATTGAGTATAGTTAGTTGGCTTCATTTCTGGATGTTTTCAGAGGGCCAATGCTCTATGCAGCTTCTTTATTTGTGGCTGAATTCTTACCCTTGGTCTTATAGGGGGTTATATTAGCAAAGTATTTTTGTTGTTGTAGTTTGGGCTGCAATCCAGTAGATGAAGCTTAAGCGTATTTGCTGGTAGAGGCTCTTACTCTGCTGCATGGCTCCTTTGTATTTCCTGCCACTTGCAAGCTTGCTCTGTGGTGCAGTGGCAAGAGAGGTGACCCCTTCACTGCATTTACTCCTGGGCCTTGGGGGAACTCCTTCCAATCACTGGCACTGTACCTGCATTTCTTTTGTTAGATGTTTGGGCTGCAGGGTTCCCTCAGTCAGAGGCTGAAGTAGGGAGATAGACCATACCTTTTCAGTCTGGCTCTGTGGAGAAAGGCATGCCTATTCCTGCTGCGGCCCATGAACCCACGTGACTCAACCCTCTTAGTGCTCTGAGAATGTGGGCTCCATTCCCACTCAAGTGCCTTAGTACTCCTAGGCTATGCACTGCAGCCCTGGGGAGAGATCAGGGTTTTTGTTCCTTCCCCACCTTGGGGGCAGCAGAGGTGGGGCTGCAGTGGCAGCAATGGCATACAGCCTGCCAGTTACCTCAGGGGGTGCCACCCCAAAGAAATGCATAGCTATGGCTAATTTGAGTGATCAGCTAGGGATGGGGCAGCTGTGCTGTGGGCCCAAGCTTGGGAGTAGGTGGGGTGGGGGCTCTGCCTAGGGAAGACAAAAGAAGATAGTTTGGCCTCTTCTCCATAGGATGGCTGTGGTGTGCTATAGGCCTGCAACAACAATCAGGCTGTTTGTTCCCTTTCTAGCCTGGGTGTTGGGGGTGATGGGTGGGTACTATGGTGGTGGCAGTGACAGAGGGCCTGTCAGTTGTCTCTGGAAGCTCCACCCCAGAGAAATGCAGAACCACCACTAACTGATCAGGTGGGAGTGGCACAGCTGCTCTGGGGGCCTAAGCTGGAAGGCCGTGCCCAATCAGGAGCAGCAAGTTCAGAGAGCTGCATGGAAAACAGTCTGGCTGCCTTACTGTATGGCAGCTGTGGCATTCTGGAGGCCAATGACAGTTCTTAGATTCTTTACTCTCTCCCCAGCCTGAGGACAGCAGGGGCAGGGGCTGTAGCAGTGGCAATTGCAGCAGGCTTGTCAGTTGCCTCTGGGAGCTCCATCCCAGAGGAAAGAAGAGCGATGACCAGCTGGAATGTTCAGATTGGGGTGGGGTGGCTGTGATTGGACCTTGCCTGATGAGGTACAGTCTGCAGTTCATCCTCTCCTCAGCACCGTGCGTGTGGTACCTATCCTAGAGGTGCACGAGAGAGCCTGAGCTCCTTTGTTTGTAGGGCTATGGCAGCTGGCACCAACATGCTCAGAGATCCAAGGCTCATGGAGCTCAATGTGGGCTTCAGTGGTAGCTCTGCACAGACTCCACAAGCTCTCTGTGTCGATCTGGAAGCCCAGGGGAGCCGGGGGCCTCTCCTGTGCCCAAGATTACAAAGGTCATGCAGACATGTGGTCCTTGGGGACTCTCACTCATCCTCTCATCCTTTCCTTGCAGCTGGGAGCCTCCTCTGGCTCTGCACCAATCCTGGGTGGGCAGCTGTCCTACCTTGCTCTTCTTTGCTTTCTGTGGGTCGCTGTTGCTTCTTTGATGAATCAAAACATGGCCTCCTGTATGATCCACTTGAAGATCTAGTGTTTACTTGCAGCTCTGCCTCTTCTCCATGAGAGCAGCATGCACTAACTGCTTCTAGTCAGTCATCTTGGCAAGTCAGCCATCATGGCATTTCTTTAACTTTCTTAATTATCTTGACAAAATGCAGAATATTTCCTTAGCCAATTACCTAAAAGGTAAAAACAAAACAAACAAACAAAAAACCTTTTCACAATTTCCTGTTAAAAGTAGACCAGTACCTCAAGAAAAAGTTGTTTTAACATAAAGGATGAAATTCTAATTTCCCTTCATAGTGTTTTTGATATTAATGCTTAATTTTTAGAAAAATTTATAAATAGCACGTCTAATCTTAGCTAGCTTAATCACGTATAAAATTTCTTTCCCAAGGTTTCCCTTCTACAGACTTTTTGTATTAGTCCATTCTCAATGAAGAAATAGCCAAGACTGGGTAATTTATAAAGGAAAGAGGTTTAATTGACTCACAGTTCCACATGGCTGGGGAAGCCCCAGGAAGCTTATAATCATGTTGGAAGGCAAAGGAGAAGCAGGCACTTCTTCACAGGGCAGCAGGATGGAGTGAGTGCAAGCAGGGGAAATGCTAGATGCTTATAAAACCATCAGATCTTCTGAGACTCACTCACTGTCATGAGAACAGCATGGGGGAAACCACCCCCATGATTTGATTATCTCCACCTGGTCCCGCCCTTGACATGTGGAGATTATGGGGATTACAATTCAAGATGAGATTTTGGGTGGGGACACAGCTAAACCATATTACTTTCTAATATCCAGTCAGTTTTTTTCCCCAAATAGTTCTTTCTCATTTTGGATCAATCATTCTGCTCTAGAACAAAAATTATTCTCTTTTTGTTTTAACAGAACAATTCACATCCTCATAACTTATGCTTTTCCTTACCAAAAGCACATCTTACCTATATTGTATACTTGCATATAAAGTTGTTTTCCTTATTATTTCTAGTAATTTTAGTTACATATTTTAATTAGAATTCTTAGCCCTTTATGACCTTAATTTCTAGTGAACACTAGGAAGCAAGCAAGTGTGAATATCATGCCAGCAGTCTATAGATTGGAAAACCTGTGAATTATAATTCTAGGAGCATGTACTTTTTTATAATACATTTTTTTCAATGTGGCACAGAACATTTATTAACAGTCCCAACTGTCTTTAGTCTCTCTGTAGTAAGAAACTGTAGAGGAAACAAATTTTTATTTCTATCCTGTTAGGGCTTTTTTTTTTTTTTTCCCATCCTTCGTAAGAATGTTAAAAGTTTCTGGTATAGAAAGGACATTTTTCACATGGGAATTCTATCTTACCTCTATTTGACTCTTGCTTTTAACAATTATGCTTGAAATGCTCATAAAGATGAGACATTAAATAGCTAGCCATCACCTTAAGTTATTTTTCTTGCTGACAAGCTATGTCACATAGAGATAACATGAACTTATTTTACTAAATAAACCTAGGGGAGAAGAGTTGTGCATCTGTATTATACTAAATGCCGACAACTCTGAAGGTATGCCTGCATTAATCAAGCCAATATACTTTTATTAGCTACTATTTACCGAAGATTATCCAAGATTATGTCAACTTGAAAAATATTTTAGGTTTGTTTCTAAGGGTTTAAGGAATACCTATTTTATATAAGCACTTATTTTTCTTTAAACCAATTAAATAGTTCTCTTTTACAACTTAATTTTGGCAATACCATAAAGAAAAAGAAATATGTTACACATTCATAACATACATACTGACATATATAAATATAAACATAAAAACAGATCTTGTAGTATTCATTTAAAAATTTTAGCCAGGTGCCAAGTACAATAACACAAAGCTCACTAATCTGGAAGTGAATTTTTTTCTGGCCCATGGAACAAGATTACCCACCCAGATGGCTAAAGCTTTTGACTGATATTTGTAGAAAAGACTTAAGATTTTTTCCATTGGCCTTCTCTAAGGAATCTTTTAAAGAGGAAATCTTTGATTCATTTCATATCTTAGATATTTAATACTTCTGTGTATCCATTAAAGAGTGTGTCCCATTGCTTTTGTGGTATGTTGGATCCTTTCTTCTCTAATGTGCCTCACAAGTAACCAATTTTATCTGGGTTAAAACTTCACTGTGGCCACTGTAATTCTAGCTTGTCCTTAGTAAGGTTAACACATTTTAAAAAAATGCACAGGTTCTGGGACCATAATTTTTGTACATGGAGAAAATTGTGCTTATTTTTGGTGTTTTTAAAGCGATACATTGGGTTGACATACGTCGTGCACATGTACCCTAAAACTTAAAGTATAATAATAATAAAATAAAAAAAAAAGAAGCTAGCAGGTAGCTTCACTGATATTTCTTTAAGGCAAATTTTTCTTTTCCTTTTTCTTTATCATTGTCTTCATCCTCTTCTCTCTCCTTTCACTCCTCTTCTGAAGGTATTCAGGAAGAAGATGGCAACATGTAGGCAATAGTCTTTCTGCCACTGGAGATGTTTTATCGTGTTCAGAGAAACTAAATGAGATATACCAGAATCCTCGCATACTCAAGTCCTGCAGTTGGCCCTGCAGAACCTTCATATATACAAAAGCCCTTCATATATGCAGATTTCCATTCCTGCAAATATTGTATTTCCAATATGTGTTTGGTTGAAAAAATATCAGTTTAGAAGCTGATATTATAAGCTTGTAAACTGATATATTAAGCAGACCTACGCAGTTCAAACCCATGTTATTCAAGGGTCAACTGTATGTTTACAGGTCACCTTTCATCTGAAGGACTTTCATGTCTGCTACACAGGATGTTATAATGATCTATTGTCAGAAATGTTCTTTGCAACTTACAGAAACATGAGAGTACAGCTTGTATGGCTCAACAGAATTCTGATAAACTCAAGGAGTAAAAAGAGAGAAGAAATAAAGGCAGGTTTGAAGAATGAGAAAGAAATGATAGTCTTTTAGACAAGGAGTTAAGTATTCAATTCGCCATATTTTTGAATTCCACCAAGCTTTGGAACACTCTCCTTGGCCCAGAAAAACTATCAGGAAACCGTACTTGAGCTAGGCTGCTAGTGAATGTTTGCTATACTTTTGATTTGTTACGGCCCTGTGTAGGAGAGAAAATGCTAAGCAAATATTTGCACATTGCACTGTAAGGAAATAAAAAGTGCATTAGAAGTGAATCAGTTGACCTCATATTGTTTCATTAGAAGTAATTTCTTTTGGATTGTCTCATTGCCTATAAATGTTCTTCCTTTGCATCTTAACAACAACTCTGTCATGAGTAGTCTATGACTAGCTTATTTTTTCCACTTTTGCTCCCCATGAATATGATAAGGACCTCTCCCACTCTTTATGGGGCCTGTGTTTTGCATCCTGCAAAGACTAAACACAGTTAACATTGAATCCATCCTTTTCTTTAGAGGAACATTTCTCAAATTATCTCTAAGTTTTCGGTGTTTTACAGTAAAATGGATCAGGTCTAAGGGTTCTCTAAGAAAATTTAGCATTTGACATTTTTATTTTTATAGCAATTGAAATACATCAGTACAACCATATTCAGAAAGGGCATTATGTCAGACACTGCCAGGCTATTTTAGATGTTTGTCATTTTTGATCATAGTTAGTTTTTGGCCTTAATAATAAGTATTATTATTTTACTTATTGCCAGTGAATGATAGGATAGAGCTTAACTAAATGCTTAAACGATGTGCTTGGATCCCCACATAGATCCACAGTTATTATATTCCTTAGGGTTTTGCTATAGCTACGTAGAGGAAAGGAGAATTCAGTCATCCCAATGCGCATGGTACCCTGGGCATGCTGAACTCAAAAGAAGCTATACTACAGCAGCTATATGCACAATATAAGTGCCAATTTAGTTTCACCAAAAATCATCACTTTATATTAAATTCATATCACTGATTTGAATTTTATTGGCCGACCTTTTTAAGTTTTATATGTTAAGATTCTATAATTATATACAACTCTAAGTGTAAGAAAAGTTATTGCTAGTTTTATGTGGGTGCATATATAGGTAATATAATAAAAAATAATTTAGATTGAAGGTTTGTGTGATAACTTTTCTCCTTATAAGGGTTTTTTCCTGGAGTGATATCATTAAAGCATTTAAAACAGATTTTATGAAGTAACTACTGATACTAGAGGAAAGAGCTAAGCTCCATTCTAATTTGTGCAGAGTGACTGGGTATTCAGGGAGAATAAGGGAGTAGGGAAGAGGAACAGCAGGGGCCTGAGCAGAGTCAAGGAAGTGAAAAATTACAAAAATCAGGAAGTGGAGGTTGGTCCCTGTAAACTCATGTGGGTTTGTTATCTGGTGCTCATCAAAGTTAGACTCCTAACCTTCCTTAGAGATTGGGAGACAAGAGCCCTATCTTCAGGCATTGGCTGGAAGAAACTGTCAATTCTTCTGTCTACCTTGAGTTTTCTCAGGTAGGAACTTTAAGGGGTAGGAGGGTAGGACCATCCTAGGGTTGTGGCCTTGGGCTTTTAGAAACTATTAATAGATTCGTGTTTGTTAAAGTCTTTATAGGTTAATGTTGAGGCCGAGCTGAGAAGAGTGCTCAAAGGAACCTGGATAGACTTTGATTAAAGAGAGAATCTTTGTCAGTGATAATTACAGAATGGCACTTTCTTATAAACAGTGACTGCTATGTATTAACTGTTGTTAAGTGAACTTGATTTTAACATATTAGCTGAAAAAATATGAAAGATTATGCTCTTCATTTCAGGGCCGAGATCTGGACGATAAAATTCAGGAATATAAACAAGCTGGAAAAATCTTTCCAGAAAATCAAATAATAGAATGGTTTATCCAGCTGCTGCTGGGAGTTGACTACATGCATGAGAGGTATGTTCATTTGCTACTGGGGGAGCATGATATATTTTTAACAGTCATGTTTGAACTTGAAAAGTGAATTTTTTTTCTATAATTGAAAGAAAACAAGTTCAAAAGGTATATGGCTAAAATTAAACATCTATAATATGTTTTTCCTTGAGAAAACTGTTGAATGATTATATCTAGAGGATTTACTTGCATAGCTTTTTGTTGCTGTTCTGAAACTCAAGTTGGCCTTGAATATAAGACAGAAATTTGTATTAAACACATTTCATTATGTCTGATCATGTCCTGTGAATTACAGGAAGTTCTCAGAAACCTTTGGCATCCTATGAATTTATTGTATCTTACAGCAGGCTTGAGTTGTAAATACCTTAGTATGCCACAAATGAATTGTGTGGTCGCCTTGGAATGTGTCAGTGCACACTTAGCTAGGTTCACATCCCAAAAGAGCTCAGTAATTGAGACAGAATGTATTCTTTCACCTCAGAGGGATAAGTATTCAGATAGAAAGTCAGTTTTGATATGAAGTATCTCATAATGAAGGTCAATTATTTTGATTATCTGTGATTTACATTTACAATCTCTGCCTCAAAAATGTATTTTAAAACTTTTAATGAATTTTTATAGGTCAAAAGTAAGAAGTTTTAGAAGTTAAATATTTTAGAGACCCATAAAATGATATGAACACGTTTGAAAAGATGAACATACATAGACAAAAAAGAAGTGGATATTCTGAGGTGTCTGTGGTCGCTTTCACCTTGGAAGTGGGCGTTAACACATGGTACCATTCTTCTTGAACGAAAGGGGGTAATTTATAAAGCACACCAAGGTCTAACTATCCGTGGATGTCAGGTTGCTTAAATGTGTCATCTGTACTTTCTGACAGCATAAAAAGTAATCGGATTATTCTGTAATTCGCCATGTATCTTCTAAAACACATGCTTGTTGATACAGATAGCTACTGATTTATTGACACCTCATAACAATCTGTTGGATGATGTCAAACTATCTTTAGAAATCTTTTATTAAAAGATTATTTGACTTAAATGAATCAAATAATCTTTTAATAAGCTACCCAAAGCTACTGACTGTAAAACTTCTGTGTACATACATTTATATTGGTATTTCTTTTATTTCTTTATTTCTTAGCATATTGTTAGGTTATATGCAAGAAAAACAACTAAAAAACAACACATATTAAGATGCTAACTATGGTATTCTATGCACAAAATACAAAACTGGAATTTGGTTGATTTAAGAACCCAAATATTTTTGATACCTTTAAGACTGCTTAGTAATAGTTAAAATAAATGAGTTTAAAATAACCCTTTGAACAGAGGCTTATAATTTTTAATCCTTTAATATTCAAAGAAAGTCATTAAATGAGACTAAATATTTGGATATTTGTGAATCTGTGGATCTGAAATACAATCCTTTGTGATTCAGGTAACAATTGATGGTGCTTCTTAGTCATTATGTTATTATAACCAATTACTGTAAAATTTTTATGTACAGAGAAATTACAATTTTATGTTTCGGTTCATTCATTCCTTCATTAGATAGTGATAAATTAAAAATAAGTCTCAACCTCAAAGAGCTGTTAGTAAGCTAGCCGACATAAAACATGTACCCTTATAACTATAAGCCATGCACCATGGTGGATGTGCACAATTCATTGTCTCCACTATTCACCAGATTCATGACCTTGAGCAAGCTGGTCATGAGAGCAAGCTCTCCTCTCTGAACCTGTTTCCTCATCTATTAGATTGGTGCAAAAGTAATTGTGGTTTTTGCCATTATTTTTAATGACAAAAGCCACAATTATTTTTGCACCTACCTAATATAAAGTAAGGATAATAATAGGACTCTCCTTGCTTACATTAAAGGGTAGAAAATATGCATTCAGATATTAGACAGTTTAAAAGTTTGCAAAATGTTAAGCTCTATGTAATGTTGTTGTTATAATTTAATATAGAAATGAGAGCACAGACATCAAAAGGGGTTTTAAAAACGATGACAGTAGCAAGTGTTGGTAAACATATGGAGTACCTGGAATTATTTTATATTGTTAATAGGGTATACATTGATATAAACACTTTTGAGAAATGTTTGCAAAACTTTCTAAGCCAAACATACAAATAGCTATGACCCAGTAATTCTATTCCTAAGGGTAGAAATGAGTGCTGATGTCCAACAAAAGGTATGCAGAAATGTCCATAGAAGCCTTTTTTGTAATAGTGAAAACATTAAAAAATATTCATCTACAGTGGAATGGTTAACCTGAGTGTGGTATGGCCCTATAATGGACTTTTAAAATTACTATTCTATAATTTAAAAACAATACACAATTGATAATAAGCATGACCTGGGTGAATCTCAGAGATCAGAGGTAGGATGACAGAAGCCAGATGCAAAAGAGTGTATACTGCATGACTACATTTATATGAAGTTCAAAAATAGGCAAAACTAACCTAAGATAAGTCAGAATAGTGATTACTCTTGCAAAGGGGTTTTGCCTGGAAGGGGCACAAAGAAACCTGGGATGTTAGAAATGTTCTATATCTTAATCTGGATAGAGGATTACAAGAGTGGTACAGATGTTGATATATATGTAAAAAATCATCAAATTTAAGATTTTTGCATTTTAATGTAAGTTATACTCTAGTTTAAAACAAGTGATAAAAGGGCCAAGAAAAGTACAATTTAGTGTTACAGGAGATCAGAAGAGAGATAATGTTTTCATTTGGAGAATCAATGGAGGCTTCTTCTTGGAAGAAGTAGCACTTGACCCAAGGTAGGTTTCAAGTATGATGAAAAATGGGTCAGAGCTTTCCAGATATAGGGAACAGAGCACAGCCACAGAGGTGGGAAAACATGGAACTTTTAGAGAGAATCATGAGTAGTTCTATTGGGAAGGTTCTTGGAGTAATGAATAAAGTTGTTTGCAAAGGTAGGCTGAGGTCAAGAGGGCTTTATTTTGGAGCATAGACATTGAACTCCACAAGAGCTTTTTGAGTGGAGTTATATAATATTGCCAGAGCTTGCTTCAGGAAGGT
The DNA here is from genome assembly GCF_000001405.40 of Homo sapiens. Classification (NCBI taxonomy): domain Eukaryota; kingdom Metazoa; phylum Chordata; class Mammalia; order Primates; family Hominidae; genus Homo; species Homo sapiens. Next base: position 131,112,969 of record NC_000003.12, read on the forward strand.
TAGATGATAAATTATATCAAGGAGAGAAGGTAACTTGGGTTATCAGTCAAGAACCTTTTATAATATCCATGCATGAGATTGTGAGACCTAAACCAAGCTGGCAGAGGTGGGTAGAATGAGGAAAGATGAGAATGAACTCAGTAAGTTGAAATGACTGGACTTGCAATTAAGTGTATCTGAGATGTGATAGAAGGTCAAAGATGAACCTGAGGTTTTGTGCCTGGATGAATGAGAAATTGGAAAGACAGGTTTGAAACAATGGTGATGAGTTTAATTATGAATATGCTGGGTAGAATATGGAGAGAGAAGAAGGAGAGGGAGGAGAGAGAGAGAATGAGAATGAGAGAAGGAAGTTAGAAGTGAGGCTCTGGATCTTAGGGAACCATCAGGGCTTGACTTTGTTTGGGTTCCTACAATATCAGAGCTCTGAAACAAAGACTAGGGTACAAATAGAGTTTTAGGAGGTAATCTTAGAAATCAGAAGCCAATAAGTGGGAAGAGTGAGAAGGAGAAGCCAGAAAAGCTGTGCAGAATGCATGGTTGAACTAGTGGCTGCTGTGGGTAGAGGGATGCAGAGGCAGGACTCTTCTAATAGTGTTTTAAGTTTTGAGTTTCTCTTCCTGCATTCTTTCCTGAATTTTTGGGGAAAAAAAGAAAAAGCAGGCCGGGCACAGTGGCTCACGTCTGTAATCCCAGCACTTTGGGAGGCCAAGGCGGGTGGATCACAAGGTTAGGAGTTTGAGACTAGCCTGGCCGACATAGTGAAACCCCATCTCTACTGAAAATACAAAAAATTAGCGAGGCATGGCGGCAGGCACCTGTAATCCCAGCTACTTGGAGGCTGAGGCAGGAGAATGGCTTGAACCTGGGAGGTGGAGGTTGCAGTGAGCCGAGATTGCACCATCGTATTCTAGCCTGGGTGACAGTGCAAGACTCCCTCTCAAAAAAAAAAAAAAAAAAAGGCAATCTTGCTTAAATATAACTATTGTTTTCTAGCACTATTGTGAATTTCCTCTTGAAAAATTTCTTGTATTTCTGGGAATTTGGAGTGAGGAGGGGGAGGAAGTTGGAGTGAGGAGGGGGAGGAAGTTGTCTTCATCTTGATCCAATTTTAGAATGGTTTTTAAATGGAGCAGTTATATATATATTATTCCTGATTGTAAATGTATAATCTATGTTTCACTTCTGTTGGTTTTCAGTATTTAATTTAGTATAAAACATGTTTCCTTCAGAAAATAAACTTATTTATCTTAATTGTCTGACTTTAAAACTTTTTAAATCCAAAGGAATGATTTTTTTTAGCATATGGCATAAACATTTATAAATAATTAAAAAGCCAAGACTATTCACAGAAAGCTACTTTGAGAACGTAGCACTAAAACATGTTCTTGCCGAAGGGAGTCATGCTGTATTAACAAAACTCCAGTGTCGTGGCTTACAGCAGCAATCATTTCCTGCTCATGTTGCATATTGACAGATATGGGTCATCTGCAAGTCTGCTCTACATGTCTTCATTCCAGTACCCAAACTGAAGGAGCAGCCCTATCCAGGACAGGCTTTACTCCTGGTGGAGGGAAAAGCAAGAGAGTGGAAACCCCTTGCTCAGACATGACAATCATCCAGTCTGCTCACATGTCATTAACCAGAGAAGTCACATGACCACTCTTAATGTCAGAGGGGGTGGAGATGCCTCTTCCTCCCAAAGGGACCCCTCACTGCAAGGAATAAGAAGCGTGAATACTTGGGAACAAGAATAAGTCTACTACAATGTTTCACTCAGCTTTAGACTAAAATCTTTCAAATTACAGCTGATAAATATAGGCTTGTCTACAAAGCATTATTCTAGTTTTCTCCTTATATGATCTACAGTATATATTAAAGTATATTTTGAAAATTACATAAATTGGCTTACATATGAGTTAAGATTACCTTGGAAACAATACATGTGAAGAGGTTAGGTTTGTTGCAAATGCCTTGCAAAAATTTTAGTTTATATATATGATGGTTGATTTTATGTGTCAAGTTGACTGGGCAGTAGATGCCCAGAATTACACATTGTTTACAGGTGTGTCTTTGAAGATGGTTCTGGATGAGATTAGCATTTGAATCTGTGGACTCAGTAAAGTAGATTGCCCTCCACAGTGTGGGCAGGCATCATCCAATCCCTTGATGGCTTGAATGGAACAAAAGACAGAGGAAGGAGGAATTTGCCCCCTTGTTCCTGCCTCACTACTTAAGCTAGACATCTCATCTCCTACCCTCAGACTGGGATTTACACCATTGGCTCCCCTGGTTCTCAGTCCTTTGGACAGGGACTGAATTACACTATTGGCTTTCCTGGGTCTCTAGCTTGTAGACAGCAGATTGTGGGACTTCTCAGCCTCCCTAATTCATGAGCCAATTCTTCATAATAAATCATTTATCATTAGAACCCAGACTAATACAGTGCAGCCGTAGAGGAGATAAAGAAGACCCTGGAAACACTAAGAAGAATGAAGTTACAGAAAAAGTGAAGAATCTGTTCACTCCTTTGGAGCTTCCTGTACTTATTTTAATTTGGTTTATTTATACATTATTCTAAATCTATAACATATGGCATAAACACATAAATAATGATGTTAAAACCTGAGAAAATTCACAGTTCACTAGAAGCTATCTTGAGAATGTTGCACTGAAACCCATTACTGTTCTGGGCGGGGAGTTCAGTTATGTCAATTTCTTAAGATAAAGGACAGAGCAGCCTCTCTGCAGAGAGCCCACCTGCTGGTGGTCTCAAGGCCTTGCTGATTTTGGTGCTTTCCAAGTAGAGGAGAGAACAGGGCTGGGCACTTACTCCAAGACGGCTTCCTCATCACCTCACTGCCCATGGATTTCCCAGCCAGCTTGGCGAGGTATTGTGGTAGAGTGGCTAAAATGTTCCCTGAAAGGTAGTGTTTTCTTTCTTTCTTTCTTTCTTTCTTTCTTTCTTTCTTTCTTTCTTTCTTTCTTTCTTTCTTTCTTTCTTTCTTTCTTTCTTTCTTTATTATACTTTAAGTTCTAGGATACATGTACACAACGTGCAGGTTTGTTACATATGTATACATGTGCCATGTTGGTGTGCTGCACCCATTAACTCGTCATTTACATTAGGTATCTCTCCTAATGCTATCCCTCGCCTTCCCCCCACCCCATGACAGGCTCCAGTGTGTGATGTTCCCCACCTTGTGTCCAAGTGTTCTCATTGTTCAGTTCTCACCTATGAGTGAGAACGTGCAGTGTTTGGTTTTCTGTCCTTCTGATAGTTTGCTCAGAATGATGGTTTCCAGCTTCTTCCATGTCCCTACAAAGAACATGAACACATCCTTCTTTATGGCTGCATAGTATTCCATGGTGTATATGTGCCACATTTTCTTAATCCAGTCTATCACTGATGGAAATTTGGGTTGGTTCCAAGTCTTTGTTATTGTGAATAGTGCCACAATAAACATACGTGTGCATGTGTCTTTATAGCAGCATGATTTGTAATCCTTTGGGTATATACCCAGTAATGGGATGGCTGGGTCAAATGGTATTTCTAGTTCTAGATCCTTGAGGAATCGCCACACTGTCTTCCACAATGGTTGAACTAGTTTACAATCCCACCAACAGTGTAAAAGTGTTCCTATTTCTCCACATCCTCTCCAGCACCTGTTGTTTCCTGACTTTTTAATAATTGCCATTCTACCTGGTGTGAGATGGTATCTCATTGTGGTTTTGATTTGCATTTCTCTGATGGCCAGTGATGATGAGCATTTTTTCATGTGTCTTTTGGCTGCATAAATGTCTTCTTTTGAGAAGTGTCTGTTCATATCCTTTGCCCACTTCTTGATGGGGTTGTTTGATTTTTTCTTGTAAATTTGTTTAAGTTCTTTGTAGATTCTGGATATTAGCCCTTTGTCAGATGGGTAGATTGCAAAAATTTTCTCCCATTCTGTAGGTTGCCTGTTCACTCTGATGGTAGTTTCTTTTGCTGTGCAGAAGCTCTTTAGTTTAATTAGATCCCATTTGCCAATTTTGGCTTTTGTTGCCATTGCTTTTGGTGTTTTAGTCATGAAGTCCTTGCACATGCCTATGTCCTGAATGGTATTGCCTAGGTTTTCTTCTAGGGTTTTTATGGTTTTAGGTCTAACAGTTAAGTCTTTAATCCATCTTGAAGAAATTTAATATAAGGTGTAAGGAAGGGACCCAGTTTCAGCTTTCTACTTATGGCTAGCCAGTTTTCCCAGCACCATTTATTAAAGAGGGAATCCTTTCCCCATTGCTTGTTTTCCTCAGGTTTGTCAAAGATCAGATAGTTGTAGATGTGTGGTATTATTTCTGAGGGCTCTGTTCTGTCCCATTGGTCTATATCTCTGTTTTGGTGGCAGTACCGTGCTGTTTTGGTTACTGTAGCCTTGTAGTATAGTTTGAAGTCAGGTTGTGTGATGCCTCGAGCTTTGTTCTTTTGGTTTAGGATTGTCTTGGCAATGTGGGCTCTTTTTTGGTTCCATATGAACTTTAGTTTTTTTTTCCCAATTCTGTGAAGAAAGTCATTGGTAGCTTGATGGGGATGGCATTGAATCTATAAATTACCTTGGGCAGTATGGCCATTTTCACGATATTGATTCTTCCTACCCATGAGCATGGAATGTTCTTCCATTTCTTTGTGTCCTCTTTTATTTCATTGAGCAGTGGTTTGTAGTTCTACTTGAAGAGGTCCTATACACATCCCTTGTAAGTTGGATTCCTAGGTATTTTATTCTCTTTGAAGCAATTGTGAATGGGAATTCATTCATGATTTGGCTCTCTATCTGTTATTGGTGTACAGGAATGCTTGTGATTTTTGCACATTGATTTTGTATCCTGAGATTTTGCTGAAGTTGCTTATCAGTTTAAGTAGATTTTGGGCTGAGACGATGGGGTTTTCTAAGTATATGATTATGTCGTCTGCAAACAGGGACAATTTGACTTCCTCTTTTCCTGATTGAATACCCTTTATTTCTTTCTCCTGCCTGATTCCCCTGACCAGAACTTCCAACACTATGTTGAATAGGAGTGGTGAGAGAGGGCATCCCTGTCTTGTGCCAGTTTTCAAACAGAATGCTTCCAGTTTTTGCCCATTCAGTATGATATTGGCTGTGGGTTTGTCCTAAATAGCTCTTATTATTTTGAGATACATTCCATCAATACTTAGTTTATTGAGAGTTTTGGGTATGAAGGGCTGTTGAAGTTTGTCGAAGGCCTTTTCTGCATCTATTGAGATAATCATGTGGTTTTTGTCTTTGGTTCTGTTTATATGATGGATTACGTTTATTGATTTGCATATGTTGAACCAGCCTTGCATCCCAGGGATGAAGCCAACTTGATCGTGGTGGATAAGCTTCTTGATGTGCTGTTGGATTCAGTTTGCCAGTATTTTATTGAGGATTTTTGCATCGATGTTCCTCAGGGATATTGGTCTAAAATTCTCTTTTTTTGTTGTGTGTCTGTGGGCTTTGGTATCAGGATGTTGCTGGCCTCATAAAATGAGTTAGGGAGGATCCCTCTTTTTCTGTTGATTAGAATAATTTCAGAAGGAATGATACCAATTCATGTTTGTACCTCTGGTAGAATTCGGCTGTGAATCCATCTGGTCCTGGACTTTTTTTGGTTGGTAGGCTATTAATTATTGCCTCAATTTCAGAGCCTGTTATTAGTCTATTCAGGGATTCAACTTCTTCCTGGTTTAGTCTTGGGAGGGTGTATGTGTCCAGGAATTTATCCGTTTGTTCTAGATTTTCTAGTTTATTTGAGTAGAGGTGTTTATAGTATTCTCTGATGGTAGTTTGTATTTCTGTGGGATCGGTGGTGATATCCCCTTTATCATTTTTTTTGCATCTATTTGATTCTTCTCTTTTTTCTTCTTTATTAGTCTTGCTAGCTGTCTATCAATTTTGTTGATCTTTTGAAAAACCAGCTCCTGGATTGATTGATTTTTTGAAGGGTTTTTTGTGTCTCTATCTTCTTCAGTTCTGCTCTGATCTTAGTTATTTCCTGCCTTCTGCTAGCTTTGAATGTGTTTGCTCTTGCTTCTCTAGTTCTTTTAATTGTGATGTTAGGGTGTCAATTTTAGATCTTTCCTGCTTTCTCTCATGGGCATTTAGTGCTATGAATTTCCCTCTACTCACCGCTTTAAATGTGTCCCAGAGATTCTGGTATGTTGTGTCTTTGTTCTCATTGGTTTCAAAGAATATCTTTATTTCTGCCTTCATTTTGTTATGTACGCAGTAGTCATTCAAGAGCAGGTTGTTTAGTTTCCATGTAGTTGAGCGGTTTTGAGTGAGTTTCTTAATCCTGAGTTCTAGTTTGATTGCACGGTGGTCTGAGAGACAGTTTGTTATAATTTCTGTTCTTTTACGTTTGCTGAGGAGGGCTTTACTTCCAACTATGTGGTCAATTTTGGAATAAGTGCAATGTGGTGCTGAGAAGAATGTATATTCCGTTGATTTGGGGTGGAGAGTTCTGTAGATGTCTATTAGGTCTGCTTGGTGCTGAGCTGAGTTCAAATCCTGGATATCCTTGTTAACTTTCTGTCTTGTTGTTCTGCCTAATGTTGACAGTGGGATGTTAAAGTCTCCCATTATTATTGTGTGGGAGTCTAAGTCTCTTTGTAGGTCTCTAAGGACTTGCTTTATGAATCTGGGTTCTCCTGTATTGGGTGTATATATATTTAGGATAGTTAGCTCTTCTTGTTGCATTGATCCATTTACCGTTATGTAATGGCCTTCTTTGTCTCTTTTGATCTTTGTTGGTTTAAATTCTGTTTTATCAGAGACTAGGATTGCAACCCCTGCTTTTATGTTTTGTTTTGTTTTCCAGTTGCTTGGTAGATCTTCCTCCATCCCTTTATTTTGAGCCTATGTGTGTCTCTACACATGAGAGGGATCTCCTGAATACAGCACACCGATGGGTCTTGACTCTTTATCCAATTTGCCAGTCTGTGTCTTTTAATTGGAGCATTTCGCCCATTTACATTTATGGTTAATATTGTTATGTGTGAATTTGATCCTGTCATTATGATGTTAGCTGGTTATTTTGCTCGTTAGTTGATGCAGTTTCTTCCTAGCATCGATGGTCTTTACAATTTGGCATGTTTTTGCAGTGGCTGGTACTGGTTGTTCCTTTCCATGTTTAGTGCTTCCTTCAGGAGGTCTTGTAAGGTAGACCTGGTGGTGACAAAATCTCTCAGCATTTGCTTGTCTGTAAAGGATTTTATTTCTGCCTCATTTATGAAGCTTAGTTTGGCTGGATATGAAATTCTGGGTTGAAAATTCTTTTCTTTAAGAATGTTGAATATTGGCCCCCACTCTCTTCTAGCTTGTAGAGTTTGTGCTGAGAGATCCGCTGTTAGTCTGATGGGTTTCCCTTTGTGGGTAACCCGACCTTTCACTCTGGCTGCGCTTAACATTTTTTCCTCATTTCAACTTTGGTGAAACTGATAATTATGTGGCTTGGAGTTGCTCGTCTTGAGGAGTTTCTTTGTGGCATTCTCTGTGTTTCCCGAATTTGAATATTGGCCTGCCTTGCTATATTGGGGAAGTTCTTCTGGATAATATCCTGAAGAGTGTTTTCCAAGTTGGTTCTATTCTCCCTGTCGCTTTCAGGTACACTAATCAGATGTAGATTTGGTGTTTTCACATACTCCTATATTTCTTGGAGTCTTTGTTCGTTCCTTTTTACTCTTTTTTCTCTAAACTTCTCTTCTCGCTTCATTTCATTCATCTGATCTTCAATTACTGGTACCCTTTCGTCCACTTGATCAAGTCAGCTACTGAAGCTTGTGCATGCGTCACATAGTTCTCGTGCCATGGTTTTCAGTTCCATCAGGTCATTTAAGGTCTTCTCTATGCTGTTTATTCTAGTTAGCCATTCATCTAATCTTATTTCAAGGTTTTCATCTTCTTTGAGATGGGTTTGAACATCCTCCTTTAGCTCGGGGAAGTTTGTTATTACCTATCGGCTGAACCCTTCTTCTCTCAACTCGTCAAAGTCATTCTTCGTCCAGCTTTGTTCCGTTGCTAGCGAGGAGCTGAGTTCCTTTGGAGGAGAAGAGGTGCTCTGATTTTTAGAATTTTCAGCATTTCTTCTCTGGTTTCTCCCCATCTTTGTGGTTTTATCTCCCTTTGGTCTTTGATGATGGTGACGTACAGATGGGGTTTTGGTGTGGATGTCCTTTCTGTCTGTTAGTTTTCCTTCTAATAGTCAGGACCCTCAGCTGCAGGTCTGCTGGAGTTTGCTGGAGGTCCATTGCAGACCCTGTTTGCCTGGGTATCACCAGCAGAGGCTGCAGAACAGCAAACATTGCAGAATGGCAAATGTTGCTGCCTGATCCTTCCTCTGGAAGCTTGGTCTCAGAGGGGCACCTGGCTGTAGGAGGTGTCTGTTGGCCCCTACTGGGATGTGCCTCCCAGTTAGGCTACTCGGGGCTCAGGGCCCAGTTAAGGAGGCAGTCTGTCCGTTCTCAGATCTCAAACTCTGTGCTGGGAGAACCACTGCTCTCTTTAAAGCTATCAGACAGGGACGTTTAAGTCTGCAGAAGTTTCTGCTGCCTTTTGTTCAGCTATGCCCTGCCCCCAGTGGTGGAGTCTACAGAGGCAGGCAGGCCTCCTTGAACTCCGGTGGGCTCCACCCAGTTTGAGCTTCCAGGCCACTTTGTTTACCTACTCAAGCCTCAATAATGGTGGACGCCCCTCCCCCAGCCTCGCTGCCCCCTTGCAGTTGGATCTCAGACTGCTGTGCTAGCAGTGAGAGAGGCTCCGTGGGTGTGGGACCCTCCAAGCCATGCATGGGATATAATCTCCTGGTGTGCCATTTGCTAAGACCATTGGAAAAGCACAGTATTAGGGTGGGAGTGTCCCAACTTTCCAGGTACCATCTGTCACGGCTTCCCTTGACTAGGAAAGGGAATTCCCTGACCCCTTGCACTTCCCAGGTGAGGTGATGCCCCGCCCTGCTTCAGCTCACGCTCTGTGGGCTGCACCCACTGTCCAGCAAGCCCCAGTGAGATGAACCCGGTACCTCAGTTGGAAATGCAGAAATCACCCATCTTCTGTGTCGCTCATGCTGGGAGCTGTAGACTGGAACTGTTCCTATTCGGCCATCTTGGAACCTCCTCCCTGTTGTGTTTTTTCCTGAAAGGTAGTGTTAAGAACTCATTTTTAATGTAGTGAGGCTTCCAGGGAAGAGCCATACTTGGAAATCTGAGTCCGTAAATATGACTGTGGAAGGAGGTGTCCTACCCCAGATTTGAAGGTGGAAAAGCAGAGAGAAGTTGTGTTTGGTGTTACTGGAGATTCCTGCTTTCTCCTGGTCCTCACTTCTTGAGGATATCCTGCAGTCACTTTTTCAAGGTAACCTCACCCCTGAGCCAGGTGTAGGCACACTCCTGATATGCTGACAGTGGCCAATAGTTTGAGGAAGACCTGACCCTGCTTCTGACTTACAACATAGAGGACTCATTGTGTTAGTGAGGGGAATGAGACTGATGAAGAAAGGCAGGTGCCTCAGTGCCCAGGACAGGGGCCACATGGCAAAGACCAGTAACAGGAGTTGCCTGGGTTGTGCATCACAAAGGAGCCATTGGCTGTGCCAGCACCTTTGGCAAGAAGAGTTTGTGATCCACCCTGAGAACCTGCTAGATGAAGGATAGACCTCCAGGGAGGGTTTCATATCATAAACTGTTCATATTAGGGCTTGAGGGGAGGTGAGAGGAATTGTCCATACCTTCTCCACAGTTCTACCTTGGGCTGGAGGCCTGAGAAATGCCTGCCCTCTGTACCTCCACAGACTGTTCTTCATCCTAGCATGGGCCCTGGATGCTGGGGAAGAATGACCTGATGGGGAGATGGAGATGGGATTTTTAGCATGAATTTGAACCAGAAACTGTCAGCAAATCTTAACCAGATCACTTGGGTGTCATGAAACATAGAAATGAGAGGGACCCACCACTTGAACAGATATGGTATGGTGCACTTGAGATAATAGATGGAGAACTGTGTTGAGCTTTTTAGAAGAAAGATTTCATATAAACTTTATTGCCTGTTACCTTATTATTTGTTGGATTTCATTTTCATATACTTCAAAGGAATGGATATTAGCCAAACATAGGATAAAATTATGCTGGCTCATTTTGGCTTACTGTAACCACAAAGCCAATACATTACGATTTTTTTTTTCTCCTGAGACGGAGTCTTGCTCTGTCACTCAGGGTGGAGTGCAATGGCATGATCTCGGCTCACTGTAACCTCTGCTTCCCAGGTTCAAGCAATTCTCCTGCCTCAACCTCCCAAGTAGCTGGGATTACAGGCATACGCCACCATGCCCGTCTAATTTTTGTATTTTTAGTAGAGATGGGGTTTCACCGTGCTGGCCAGGCTGGTCTCGAACTCCTGACCTTGTGATCTGCCTGCCTCGGCCTCCCAAAGTGCTGGGATTACAGGCATGAGCCACCATGCATGGCCAATTATAATTTTTCAATAGATATTTAGCAAATAGCTTGATACCTGGTTTGTTGCATAGAATTTATTGTTCCATTACCACAGTGCCAGCTAATTACTTCTCATAACTGCTTTCTAACATATTGTATGCCTTATTCTTAAAGTATCTACTGATGAGTTACTAATTTATATATTTATAGAGGCCTATCAATGTATTATTTGTAATTCATCTTCTGCTTGTCTAGTCTAGGTGTCATCAGGTGAGTTTCTTTGGAATGTTTTACTTACTCCAAAGTTACAGCACCAAGTCTTCTGGTGGGCTCCTTAGCTCACTATTGCAAATCCTAAACCTGTTGTCTCTTTGACTTCCTAGAATCAATAGCTATAGAAACCAAGTGATCAACTTAAGACACTCTTAATTGCAAATAACAGAAGCAGATTAAACAGTAGAGAAAATTTATTACCTTGCCTAACATGAAGTCTCCAAAGTGAGTTGTTCTAGAGCTGGTTAACTTGGGTGGCTGAGCAGTATTCTCTGGGGTTCTAGTTCTTTCTCTTTATTCCACCATTCTCAGTGTGTTTGGCTTTTGTAGTCAGACTTGTCCTCTTGTGGTTGCCAGAATGGCTGTAACACGACCACGTATCCCGCCTTCACACAACAGTAACCAAACTCCAGAAAAGGTAAAAGGGACATATGGCATGTCACTCCCCCCTTTTTTTGTCTTTTATAAGAGTAGGGAAGTATTTCCTACAAGATTCCAGCAGACTTCCCTTGTGTCTCATTGATGTTAGAAAAATTTCAAAAAACATGGAAGAGACAAAAGATATTAGTGGATATTTTTCCACTGCAGTGCTGGACTTAACTTTCTATTATCTGGGCTACTTCCTAACTCTGTGGAGGCAGAGGCACACTTGAATATTTTTGTCCAGCAGAGATGCAAATAATTTCTGTCCAGTAGAACAGATATCCCTGGTGATGATGGTTTATGGCCTTGTTGGGCATTAACCAGTTTTGTATCTAACTCAGCAATCATATCCCCCTGCCACATTCACCCCCTACACCCCCCACTTCCTTTACCTAACAGGTCTGAGGAGGGCTGAGCCTCCCCAGAGGCTCATGGGGTTCTGGTGTCAAGGGAGAAGAGGAGGAGAATGGTTATTGGGTAGGCATTTCACAGTTCCTGCCACACCAAGAGAACCCCAAGAGTAGGCATAGAGAAAGCCAGGTTTCATTTAACACAGTTAGTAAATACTGTTGTTCTCTTTTTAAATCAGTTAAGAAGTCAGCAACATACTCATGTACAGCATAGGTCTAGGTATCGTGGGAATGTAAGAAGGCAGTAGAAAATAGTTATTAAATAGCAAAGTTTTTATAGATAAACAGACCTATGTGAGAATAGTGGTTTATAGAGTCAAAGAGACCTCAGTTTGAACCAATAGGCTATACAACATTGGGCAAGTTATTTGGCCTTTCTAGGCCTTGATTTCCTCATCTCCAGATTGGGCATAACAGTAAAAAAATAGTAGTATAGTGCTTAGGATTATAGCATCTGGGGTTATGGACCTCAAGATGAAGTGGCCTAGTGTTGCATTGTCTAGTTTTGCTCTTCTCTTTTCTCTCTATTCTTAGAAACATACTTATTCCTCTCTAATCCACTAAAGGGTTAAAGAGGCTAAAGATTATTTGAATTAGGGGAAATTCTCACTATCATATCCAATTCTTCACTTTATATGCTGATTTTATAGGCCCGGTTGAGTTTCTGCCCATTTGTGTCCTATAAAGTAAACTATATGATCTTTATGAGTGACTTTTCTTTAAAATGTTGTTAGTCAGAATTTGCTTAGTCAGAATAAAGCTGGATGGTTGAGGCCTGAACACTTTACAAAGGTAACATTATTACACTTGTACTATCATTAATTCTAATGGTAAAAATTATTTTTATAATTGATATTTCTGGTTTTAATTAATAATAGTAATATTAATTTGGTGGGCATGTAACTGAGAGTGATCATTTACTGAGAGAGATATTTCCTTATGACCAGGTGAATGTCTTTATTGGTAATTATTTACAATTATAAATAATTCTTTAGTAAAGTGACAGTGGTTAGGTTTCCCTTCTGCCATCTCTTACAGTTGCTGATGTACTTAAAAAAAACTCTCTAACCTGAGTGTAAGCATTATGAGATACATAGCCTTGTCTTATGAATCTTTGTATCTGTCACATTATGTAGTACAGCACATAACATCTAGTTGGCACTCAATAATTGTTTTTTGGATTAATGAATGAGTCCCACTAGATAGTATTCATCTTTGTACCAAGGATAGTGTTTTAAAAACCAACATGCATTTATTGAGCATCTCCTGTGAGTGAAGAACTGTGAAGAGGAAGAGATGATATTAATAGAAATGTGGCTCAAGCATTTGCTAAGGCTGCCAGAAGCATTGGTAGGGCCAGATCTTGAAATCTCTAGCAGGCCACATATAGAACTGTAGACTCTATTCTGGAAGCAGTGCAGAGCCATTGAAGGACTTAAGTTGGTGTTTAAAGGACAGATTTTCATTTTCTAAAGCCACAACCCCATTTCTGACCTAAGGCTCAAGAATACTGCTCCCAGACTGGGTTCTCCTATTTAAGCAGGAGGACAGATACACTGCAGTCAATTTCTTCTTAAAGACTTTGACTCCAATTGTGTCCTTCTTTTCTATTATTTTTATTCAGGATTTCAGTTCTACTTCCTTTATGTACCCCACAAATTATTAATTAGTGCTACCATTATTATTGGTTTACAAGCCAAAACTAGTTTAGATTTCCCCACTTTTATCAATCTCTTGGTTCACCACTTCTTCTTCCACCCCATGTCTTCCTTCTGTGGTCATTTTTTTTCCTCCCCAAAACAAATCCTTAAGTTACGTGAATGATAAACACTCAGTTTCTTTGTTTGTTTGTTTGAAAATGTTTTTATTTTTTCCTCATCCTTTTATAATAGTTTAGCTACTATTTCAGCTAAAAATGTATTATTATTTAGCTATTATTAAAAATGAAATTCCAGATTGACAGATTTTTATCTGACATTTTGAAAATGTTATCTCACTGTCTTCTGGATTCTGTTATTGATGTTAAGTCACTTTCCATGTAACAGACATTCTTATTAAGGTAATGTCTTTTCTTTCAGTTGATTCTCAACATCTTTGTCCTTGGTGTTTTCCAATATTACAGTGTTATGTCTACTTGTGGATTTTTGTTTTAAATTCTGCTTGGGATTTCTTTTGCTTCTGAGCTTGTGAATTCATGAAAACTTCTAAATTCTGAAAATACCTCGTCATTCTCTCTTTGAATTTTGCTTCTCCCCTATTCTCCTTTTACAATGCTTAAAGATGTATGTTAGACCATCACATTCTGTTCTTCATTGCTATGCACTCCTTCTAGGAATCCATTTATATATATATTAGAACTTTAAGCCTGTATTTCAGATGTCTCTTATACTCTTTTCTATGTTTTCTTTTTCTTTCTTTCTTTCTTTTTTTTTTTTTTTTTTTTTTTGAGACAGAGTCTCACTCTTGTTGCCCAGGCTGGAGTACAGTGGCGCGATCCTGGCTCACTGCAACCTCCGCCTCCCATGTTCAAGCAATTATCCTGCCTCAGCCTCCTGAGTAGCTGGAACTACAAGTGCCTGCCACCATGCCCGGCTAATTTTTGTACTTTTAGCAGAGATGGGCTTCATCATGTTGGCCATGCTGGTCTTGAACTCCTGACCTCAGGTGATCCACCCACCTTGGCCTCCCAAAGAGCTGGGATTATAGGCGTGAGCCACTGTGCCTAGCCTTTTCTATGTTTTTAATCTTTTTTTCTTTTTGCACCTCAGTTGAAATACTTTTCACTAACCATTATTCCAGTTTCTAAATCCTCTCTTCTGCTGTGTCTAATTTGATTTCAAACATATGCACTAAATTCTTAATTTTAGTAAAATTTTGTTTCAGTTTTAGAATTTCCATTTGATTCCTAGAAAATATATATATGCACTCCTAGTGCATATAAAAATATATATATATTTTCTATATAGAAAATATATAGAATCTAGCTCTCTATTGAAATTCTCCATTGTGTCAGTTATTTTCTTGAGCAATAATCACAGTTATTTTCAAATCCTTGTCCAATAATTTCAATAGGTGGATCACTTGTGTATTTATTTCTATATCTCTTTTTTTCTTTTGGTTTTTAATCATTTGATCTTATCTTTTGGTATGCCTGGTAGTTTTTGAGTGAATGCTGAACAATATATGTGAAATATTGAGAGATGTTAGATGATATTACTTTTCTCTGCCTGACAGTTATATTTAGGGCAGATCACCTTGATCTAATGAGGAACTGAAATAGTTTAACTGTAGGCTGTAGGCTTTTGGAGGGTTGGTCTATTTTCAGTTTGCCTTTATTTCTATGAAGAAGTTTTTCAGAGCTTTCAGCTGAAGGGTTTAGTTTTTTACTAAGATACCTCTTCCTTTGTGGACCCTGAAATCCAAGTTTATTGAATCTACTCAAAGCTCTGATTAAAAATTTAAAATAAACTTTATTTTTTAAAGCAGTTTTAGGTTCACAGCAAAATTGAGTGGAAGGTACAGAGATTTCCCTTATACCCCCTGCTCCCACACATGCATTGCCTCCCCTGTTATCAGCATTGCTACCAGTCATACATTTGTTATAACAGATGAACCTACATTGACAGATCATTATCATCAAAGTCTATAGTTTACATTAGGGTTCATTCTTAGTGCTATACATTCTTTGAGTTTGGGCACATGTATGACATGTACCCATCATTTTAGTATCATAAAGTTGTTGCATGGCCCTAAAAATTCTCTGTGCTCTCCTTACTCATTCTTCCCTCCCTCTTAAACCCTGGCAACCACTTATCTTTTTGTTGTCTCCATAGTTTAACATTTTCCAGATTGTCATATAGCTGGAATCATATATAGATTTCTCAGGCTGACTTCTTTCACTTAGTAGTATGCATTTAAGTTTCTTCCATGTCTTTTCATGCCTTAATAGCTCATATCTTCTTAGCACTAAATAATATTCTATTGTGTGAATGTACCATGGTTTATTTAACCATTCCGCTACTGAAGGACACTTTTGTTGCTTTCAAGTTTTGGCAATTATGAATAAAGCTGCTATAAACACCATTGTGCAGGTTTTTGTGTGGACATAGTTTTTAATTCATTTGAATAAATACCAAGGAACATGATTGCTGGATTATGTGATAAGCATTTGTATCATTTTGTAAGAAACTGCCAAACTGTCTTCCAAAGTGGCTGAACCATTTTGTATTCCCACTAGCAGCGAATGAGAGTTTCTGTTACTCCACATCCTTGTGAGCATTTGGTGTTGTCAGTGTCTCGATTTGGGCCGTTCTAATAGGTGTGTAGTGGTACTTCATTGTTGTTTTAATTTTCATTTCTCTGATGACATATGATGTAAAACATCTTTTCAGGTTTATTTGCCTTTTGTATATCATCTTTGGTTAGGTGTCTGTTAAGGTCTTTGGCCCATTTTAAAACCAGATTATTTTCTTATTGTTGAGTTTTAATAGTTCTTTGTATATTTTGGATAACAGTCTTTTTTTTTTTTTTTTTTTGAGACTGAGTCTCGCTCTGTCACGCAGGCGTGTCAGAGTCGCAATCTTGGCTCACTGCAAGCTCCACCTCCCAGGTTCATGCCATTCTCCCGCCTCAGCCTCCCAAGTAGCTGGGACTACAGGTGCCCACCACCAGGCCTGGCTAATTTTATTTTTGTATTTTTAGTAGAGATGGGGTTTCACCACGTTAGCCAGGATGGTCTCGATCTCCTGACCTTGTGATCTGCCTGCCTCAGCCTCCCAAAGTGCTGGGATTACAGGCTTGAGCCACTGCACCCGGCCAACAGTCTATCAGATACGTCTTTTGCAAATATTTTCTCCCAGTCTGTGGCTTATCTTTTTATTCCTTGACAGTGTTTTCTTACAGAGCAGAAATTTTTTATTTTAATAAAGTCTAGCTTCTCAATTCTTTCATGGATTGTGACTTTGGTGTTATATTTAAAAAGTTATCACCAAACTTAAAATCATCTAGATTTTATCACATATTATTTTCTAGCAGTTTTATAGTTTTATATTTTTTAGGCCTATGATTTATTTTTGAGTTAATTTTTGCAAAGGCTGTAAGGTCTGTGTCTAGATTCATCTATTGTATATGAATGCCCAGTTGTTCCAGCACCATTTGTTGAAACGACTGTGTTCCATTGCATTGCCTTTGCTTCTTTGTCAAAGATCAGTTGACTGTATTCACGCAGTTTTATTTCTGGGCTCTCTATTCTGTTTTATTGATTTTTTTTCTCTCCAATAC